>NC_000013.11:84980253-85133094 GCF_000001405.40 Homo sapiens | reverse complement strand
AGAGGCCTAAACCCCTCTCTGTGGTGCAGTGCTTCAATGGTCATGCTCCTTGTCCACTTTCATGTTCCTCCCATACTCCTGGTTCCTCTTGAAAGTTCTTAGAAGATAGGGGTAGAATAAATAGTAAAAGTCTTAAAGTCTTTGATCTTTCCGATAAGTGCATAGAAGAAAATGCTCACATATGTTGCCTTCCCTCTCTGCTTCAGCTACCTAAAAGGGAAGGGTCCCTTGTCCCATGATCACATGACTTTCTTGACCTTATCAATCACTTAGATGACTCAGCCTCCTTACCCTGCCCCCTTGTCTTGTATGTAATAAATATCAGCGCACCCAGCCATTCGGGGCCACTACCAGTCTCCGCATCTTGGTGGTAGTGGTCCCCCGGGCCCAGCTGTTTTCTCTTTATCTCTTTGTCTTGTGTCTTTATTTCTTACCATCTCTCGTCTCCGCACATGGGGAGAACACCTGCTAAGCCCCATAGGGCTGGACCCTTCAAGTCTCAAGTACGTCTTTATAGAAGTGTGAGAATGGACCAATAAAGCTCTATAATTGAGGCAAATATCTTGATCAAGCGTGGGTATCAAGATTATAATCTAAATTAAAGCATTCCATCTATCTCCAAACATCATGGCATATAACAAAATATTCTGAACACTATGATGCTTTATTAATAGCTTAATAATTCAGAGGTGCTGACACTTTTCATTCCACCCATAAAAAGAAGAAGTAAACAAGTGAAGGTGCAGTACTTTCTCTTGGTATAGAAGGCTGCTTCTACAGAATTCTTTCAGCCCATAAACAGTGGTCAAGATAAAGCACACACACTCAGGCTAAAGACACTTGTCTGCCAATGAGTAAAAATAAATGAGTCTGAGTATTGCTCTGAGTATAAAGCAAATCGAACCTTAAGCCTCCTACCACCACAGGGTCAAGAGAGGGCCTGTGCACTGAGGCAAATAACTTTCTGGGCAAGTAACAGTCGTCATCATCCCCACTGGTAGAGGAGCAATAGTGAAGAGTGCTTGAGCTTTTTTACAGTTCCTCCTCCACATTTCTGATGCTGCCGTCTCTGTTAATTCTCCTGTTGTATTTGCTAATCATTTCATTAGAATTTTTCAAAGACATTATCATTATTCTTTTTCATGGATGACAAATGGTTTTTCAGGGACAGTTTATTTGTTCAATAGGAAAGAAACAAATTTCATCAGATGAAAAAGGCAAAAAAAGCCACAAACTCATAGATCTTCTAATCTCCCCCTCTATTTTTATTTGTTGATGGGCAAAAAGAAAGAAAATATATCTCTGTCAGGTAAACTTTCCATCATAATTAAGCCCTTAAACTGCCTTCTCACCGTGAATAGACGCTGACACTTGAGACAGCAAGCAGTACCCACAATCCTCCCTGACTCAATGGCTTACTGGATGACTTCCAGTGGATTCAAAATAGGATTTGAGGTATTCCCTCCAGGTTACCACCCGTTTATGTTATTTGTACTGAGGATCTCCAATTCTGATTTGATAATTTATTTAGAAAAATACAATATATTTTTATTTTCAGCCCTTGCCAATAGCTCCATCTCTAAGGAGTCTCAAGAATTCTAAAGGCAAGCAGATGGTCATACACTCATGCCTCACTGCTATTTCCACTCTTCTTTTTACCCCTGGGTCCCTAAATTCCCATTGAAAATCTACTAAACCTTTACTTATATCTTGTTTTTTTAATGCATCTTTACAAAAATTCAGGTAAGTATTTTTTCTAATAAATATATTTAATGTATAACTTTCTAGGAAAATGAAATTTTTACTACAGAGAAAATATATATTTGCATGACATATTAGGCCTTAATTCAGCCATATTTCTCATTGCATTCTTCATGTATACTTCGAATTACAGCTATATTTTTCTCCAACAACATGATATGCTGAACTTCAGGTGTGAAAATTAATTAGTTGATGTAACAGATATTTATTGAGTGTCTACTATTCTCTAGCCTCTGTTCTGGCCCCTTAGTATATGCGATTGAAACAAAAGGGTAAAGATACCTACTCTAATAGAATTTACCTGTTAGAGAGGAGAGACAGAAAATTTTATATACATGTAATTTTGAAGTGCTGTTGAAAGTACTATAGAAATAAAATCAACAAGATGAAAGATAAAAGGATACAGGCATTGGTACAGATCAGACTATGGGAGTGAAAGAATGCAATTTTATATGTATTTGTTAAGATAGACCTCAATGAGATGGAATTTGATTGAAGGGGCAAGGGATTAAGTCTGTGGATGTTTGTGTCTATATTTTAATTTTAACTTGTTTGTGCCTTTATATTTAAAGAGGGCTTCTTACATATAGTTTAATACTGCTCTCTTACCCAATCTGATAATCTCTGCCTTTTAATTGGGGTATTTAGAAAATATGGTTTAACAGTACTTTCTGGGTTGATGGAAATGTTCTATTCTGCACTGTTACTACATGATAGCCACTGGCCACAGGTCACTATTGAAAACTTCAAATGTCGCTAATATTGATGAAGACTTGAATTTTTAATGATTTTAAAATTTCAATTATTTTAAATTGAAATAGCGACATAAGGCTAATGGCTACCATGTTGGACAAAACAGGAGGCCTTTGAAGTTTTATGCAATTATGAATATGTTTTCATTTTCATCTACCATTTCACTATTTGTTTTCTATTTACCTCTACTGTTCTTTGTTAAATTTTCTATTTTAAATTTTTAAAAGCACACCATTATACATATTTTTTGTGAGAGAGTCTCTCTGTCACCCAGGTTGGAGTGCAGTGGCACAATCATGGCTCACTGCAATCTTCACCTTCCGGGTTCAAGCAATTCTCATGCCTCAGCCTCCCAAGTAAGCTGGGATTACAGGTGCACACCACCATACCCAGCTAATTTTTGTATTTTTAGTAAAGACAGGGTTTCGCCATGTTGGCCAGGCTGGTCTTGAGCTCCTGACCTCAAGTGATCTGCCTGCTTCGGCCTGCATTGTGCTAACATTATAAGTGTGAGCCAACATGTCTGGCCCCATTATAAATTTTTTATTATTATTATACTTTAAGTTCTAGGGTACATGTGCACAACATGCAGGTTTGTTACATATGTACACATGTGCCATGCTGGTGTGCTGCACCCATTAACTCATCATTTACATTAGGTATATCTCCTAATGCTATCCCTCTCCCCTCCCCCCAACCCACGACAGGCCCCAGTGTGTTACGTTCCCCTTCCTGTGTCCAAGTGTTCTCATTGTTCAATTCCCACCTATGAGTGAGAACATGCGGTGTTTTGTTTTTTGTCCTTGCAATAGTTTGCTGAGAATGATGGTTTCCAGCTTCATCCATGTCACTACAAAGGACATGAACTCATTTTTTATGGCTGCATAGTATTCCATGGTGTATATGTGCCACATTTTCTTTTTTTTTTTTTTTTTGCGGTCTTAGTGGCTCTATTTATTTTTCTTAAAAATATAATAAATCATTATTATAAGTAGTAATAGAACTCCAGGTGGCTGGATCAATAAGCTCATAAATATGAAACAATTCAAGTTTTAGTGAAAAATTTCTTAGTAGGAATATATAGTTACAATAATTATTGAAGGTTGGCAATGACACTTTTCTCTTTTTTTTATATATTCTTTAAAAAATATATTATCTTTTAGATGTGTAAAGTTAACCATATTCACACAAAGAGACTCTAGGATAATGCACAGCTGTCAATACAATAGGCAGCATAGTCTGTAGTATAAATAATTCCGATTTTACAGGACTTTACCATCACAGTGTGGTTACAATGGTTTTTCAGTTCTTCAAAATGTATACTTTTTCTTTTTTTTTTTTTTTAACTTTTGCTTTTCTTTTTTTTTTTTTTATTATACTTTAAGTTTTAGGGTACATGTGCACATTGTGCAGGTTAGTTACATATGTATACATGTGCCGTGCTGGTGCGCTGCACCCACTAACTCGTCATCTAGCATTAGGTATATCTCCCAATGCTATCCCTCCCCCCTCCCCCCACCCCACAACAGTCCCCAGAGTGTGATATTCCCCTTCCTGTGTCCATGTGATCTCATTGTTCAATTCCCACCTATGAGTGAGAATATGCGGTGTTTGGTTTTTTGTTCTTGCGATAGTTTACTGAGAATGATGATTTCCAATTTCATCCATGTCACTACAAAGGACATGAACTCATCATTTTTTATGGCTGCATAGTATTCCATGGTGTATATGTACCACATTTTCTTAATCCAGTCTATCATTGTTGGACATTTGGGTTGGTTCCAAGTCTTTGCTATTGTGAATAATGCCGCAATAAACATACGTGTGCATGTGTCTTTATAGCAGCATGATTTATAGTCATTTGGGTATATACCCAGTAATGGGATGGTTGGTCAAATGGTATTTCTAGTTCTAGATCCCTGAGGAATCGCCACACTGACTTCCACAATGGTTGAACTAGTTTACAGTCCCACCAACAGTGTAAAAGTGTTCCTGTTTCTCCACATCCTCTCCAGCACCTGTTGTTTCCTGACTTTTTAATGATTGCCATTCTAACTGGTGTGAGATGGTATCTCATAGTGGTTTTGATTTGCATTTCTCTGATGGCCAGTGATGATGAGCATTTTTTCATGTGTTTTTTGGCTGCATAAATGTCTTCTTTTGAGAAGTGTCTGTTCATGTCCTTTGCCCACTTTTTGATAGGGTTGTTTGTTTTTTTCTTGTAAATTTGTTTGAGTTCATTGTAGATTCTGGATATTAGCCCTTTGTCAGATGAGTAGGTTGTGAAAATTTTCTCCCATTTTGTAGGTTGCCTGTTCACTCTAATGGTAGTTTCTTTTGCTGTGCAGAAGCTCTTTATTTTAATTAGATCCCATTTGTCAATTTTTTCTTTTGTTGCCATTGCTTTTGGTGTTTTGGACATGAAGTCCTTGCCCATGCCTATGTCCTGAATGGTAATGCCTAGGTTTTCTTCTAGGGTTTTTATGGTTTTAGGTCTAACATTTAAATCTTTAATCCATCTTGAATTGATTTTTGTATAAGGTGTAAGGAAGGGATCCAGTTTCAGCTTTCTACATATGGCTAGCCAGTTTTCCCAGCACCATTTATTAAATAGGGAATCCTTTCCCCATTGCTTGTTTTTCTCAGGTTTGTCAAAGATCAGATAGTTGTAGGTATGCAGCATTATTTCTGAGGGCTCTGTTCTGTTCCATTGATCTATATCTCTGTTTTGGTACCAGTACCATGCTGTTTTGGTTACTGTAGCCTTGTAGTATAGTTTGAAGTCAGGTAGTGTGATGCCTCCAGCTTTGTTCTTTTGGCTTAGGATTGACTTGGCGATGCGGGCTCTTTTTTGGTTCCATATGAACTTTAAAGTAGTTTTTTCCAATTCTGTGAAGAAAGTCATTGGTAGCTTGATGGGGATGGCATTGAATCTGTAAATTACCTTGGGCAGTATGGCCATTTTCACAATATTGATTCTTCCTACCCATGAGCATGGAATGTTCTTCCATTTGTTTGTATCCTCTTTTATTTCTTTGAGCAGTGGTTTGTAGTTCTCCTTGAAGAGGTCCTTCACATCCCTTGTAAGTTGGATTCCTAGGTATTTTATTTTCTTTGAAGCAATTGTGAATGGGAGTTCACTCATGATTTGGCTCTCTGTTTGTCTGTTGTTGGTGTATAAGAATGCTTGTGATTTTTGTACATTGATTTTGTATCCTGAGACTTTGCTGAAGTTGCTTATCAGCTTAAGGAGATTTTGGGCTGAGACAATGGGGTTTTCTAGATATACAATCATGTCGTCTGCAAACAGGGACAATTTGACTTCCTCTTTTCCTAACTGAATACCCTTTATTTCCTTCTCCTGCCTAATTGCCCTGGCCAGAACTTCCAACACTATGTTGAATAGGAGTGGTGAGAGAGGGCATCCTTGTCTTGTGCCAGTTTTCAAAGGGAATGCTTCCAGTTTTTGGCCATTCAGTATGATATTGGCTGTGGGTTTGTCATAGATAGCTCTTATCATTTTGAAATACGTCCCATCAATACCTAATTTATTGAGAGTTTTTAGCATGAAGGGTTGTTGAATTTTGTCAAAGGCTTTTTCTGCATGTATTGAGATAATCATGTGGTTTTTGTCTTTGGCTCTGTTTATATGCTGGATTACATTTATTGATTTGCGTATATTGAACCAGCCTTGCATCCCAGGGATGAAGCCCACTTGATCATGGTGGATAAGCTTTTTGATGTGCTGCTGGATTCGGTTTGCCAGTATTTTATTGAGGATTTTTGCATCAATATTCATCAAGGATATTGGTCTAAAATTCTCTTTTTTGGTTGTGTCTCTGCCCGGCTTTGGTATCAGAATGATGCTGGCCTCATAAAATGAGTTAGGGAGGATTCCCTCTTTTTCTATTGATTGGAATAGTTTCAGAAGGAATGGTACCAGTTCCTCCTTGTACCTCTGGTAGAATTCGGCTGTGAATCCATCTGGTCCTGGACTCTTTTTGGTTGGCAAACTATTGATTATTGCCACAATTTTAGCTCCTGTTATTGGTCTATTCAGAGGTGCAACTTCTTCCTGGTTTAGTCTTGGGAGAGTGTATGTGTCAAGGAATTTATCCATTTCTTCTAGATTTTCCAGTTTATTTGCGTAGAGGTGTTTGTAGTATTCTCTGATGGTAGTTTGTATTTCTGTGGGATCGGTGGTGATATCCCCTTTATCATTTTTTATTGTGTCTATTTGATTCTTCTGTCTTTTTTTCTTTATTAGTCTTGCTAGCAGTCTATCAATTTTGTTGATCCTTTCAAAAAACCAGCTCCTGGATTCATTGATATTTTGAATGGTTTTTTGTGTCTCTATTTCCTTCAGTTCTGCTCTGATTTTAGTTATTTCTTGCCTTCTGCTAGCTTTTGAATGTGTTTGCTCTTGCTTTTCTAGTTCTTTTAATTGTGATGTTAGGGTGTCAATTTTGGATCTTTCCTGCTTTCTCTTGTGGGCATTTAGTGCTATATATTTCCCTCTACACACTGCTTTGAATGCGTCCCAGAGATTCTGGTATGTCGTGTCTTTGTTCTCGTTGGTTTCAAAGAACATCTTTATTTCTGCCTTCATTTCGTTATGTACCCAGTAGTCATTCAGGAGCAGGTTGTTCAGTTTCCATGTAGTTGAGCGGCTTTGAATGAGATTCTTAATCCTGAGTTCTAGTTTGATTGCACTGTGGTCTGAGAGATAGTTTGTTATAATTTCTGTTCTTTTACATTTGCTGAGGAGAGCTTTACTTCCCAGTGTGTGGTCAATTTTGGAATAGGTGTGGTGTGGTGCTGAAAAAAATGTATATTCTGTTGATTTGGGGTGGAGAGTTCTGTAGATGTCTATTAGGTCCGCTTGGTGCAGAGCTGAGTTCAATTCCTGGGTATCCTTGTTGACTTTCTGTCTCGTTGATCTGTCTAATGTTGACAGTGGGGTGTTAAAGTCTCCCATTATTAATGTGGGAGTCTAAGTCTCTTTGTAGGTCACACAGGACTTGCTTTATGAATCTGGGTGCTCCTGTATTGGGTGCATATATATTTAGGATAGTTAGCTCTTCTTGTTGAATTTATCCCTTTACCATTATGTAATGGCCTTCTTTGTCTCTTTTGATCTTTGTTGGTTTAAAGTCTGTTTTATCAGAGACTAGGATTGCAACCCCTGCCTTTTTTTGTTTTCCATTTGCTTGGTAGATCTTCCTCCATCCTTTTATTTTGAGCCTATGTGTGTCTCTGCATGTGAGATGGGTTTCCTGAATACAGCACACTGATGGGTCTTGACTCTTTATCCAATTTGCCAGTCTGTGTCTTTTAATTGGAGCATTTAGTCCATTTACACTTAAAGTTAATATTGTTATGTGTGAATTTGATCCTGTCATTATGATGTTAGCTGGTGATTTTGCTCGTTAGTTGACGCAGTTTCTTCCTAGTCTCGATGGTCTTTACATTTTGGCATGATTTTGCAGCAGCTGGTACCGGTTGTTCCTTTCCATGTTTAGCGCTTCCTTCAGGAGCTCTTTTAGGGCAGGCCTGGTGGTGACAAAATCGGTCAGCATTTGCTTGTCTGTAAAGTATTTTATTTCTCCTTCACTTATGAAGCTTAGTTTGGCTGGATATGAAATTCTGGGTTGAAAATTCTTTTCTTTAAGAATGTTGAATATTGGCCCCCACTCTCTTCTGGCTTGTAGGGTTTCTGCTGAGAGATCCGCTGTTAGTCTGATGGGCTTCCCTTTGAGGGTAACCCGACCTTTCTCTCTGGCTGCCCTTAACATTTTTTCCTTCATTTCAACTTTGGTGAATCTGACAATTATGTGTCTTGGAGTTGCTCTTCTTGAGGAGTATCTTTGTGGCGTTCTCTGTATTTCCTGAATCTGAACGTTGGCCTGCCTTGCTAGATTGGGGAAGTTCTCCTGGATAATATCCTGCAGAGTGTTTTCCAACTTGGTTCCATTCTCCCCATCACTTTCAGGTACACCAATCAGACGTAGATTTGGTCTTTTCACATAGTCCCATATTTCTTGGAGGCTTTGCTCATTTCTTTTTATTCTTTTTTCTCTAAACTTCCCTTCTCGCTTCATTTCATTCATTTCATCTTCCATTGCTGATACCCTTTCTTCCAGTTGATCGCATCGGCTCCTGAGGCTTCTGCATTCTTCACGTAGTTCTCGAGCCTTGGTTTTCAGCTCCATCAGCTCCTTTAAGCACTTCTGTGTATTGGTTATTCTAGTTATACATTCTTCTAAATTTTTTTCAAAGTTTTCAACTTCTTTGCCTTTGGTTTGAATGTCCTCTCGTAGCTCAGAGTAATTTGATCATCTGAAGCCTTCTTCTCTCAGCTCGTCAAAGTCGTTCTCTGTCCAGCTTTGTTCCGTTGCTGGTGAGGAACTGCGTTCCTTTGGAGGAGGAGAGGCACTCTGCGTTTTAGAGTTTCCAGTTTTTCTGTTCTGTTTTTTCCCCATCTTTGTGGTTTTATCTACTTTTGGTCTTTGATGATGGTGATGTACAGATGGGTTTTCGGTGTGGATGTCCTTTCTGTTTGTTAGTTTTCCTTCTAACAGACAGGACCCTCAGCTGCAGGTCTGTTGGAATACCCTGCCTTGTGAGGTGTCAGTGTGCCCCTGCTGCGGGGTGCCTCCCAGTTAGGCTGCTCGGGGGTCAGGAGTCAGGGACTCACTTGAGGAGGCAGTCTGCCGGTTCTCAGATCTCCAGCTGCGCGCTGGGAGAACCACTGCTCTCTTCAAAGCTGTCAGACAGGGACATTTAAGTCTGCAGAGGTTACTGCTGTCTTTTTGTTTGTCTGTGCCCTGCCCCCAGAGATGGAGCCTACAGTGTCAGGCAGGCCTCCTTGAACTGTGGTGGGCTCCACCCAGATCGAGCTTCCCTGCTGCTTTGTTTACCTAAGCAAGCCTGGGCAATGGCGGGCGCCCCTCCCCCAGCCTAGCTGCCGCCTTGCAGTTTGATCTCAGACTGCTGTGCTAGCAATCAGCGAGATTCCGTGGGCGTAGGACCCTCCGAGCCAGGTGTGGGATATAGTCTCGTGGTGCGCCGTTTTTAAGCCCGTTTGAAAAACGCAATATTCGGGTGGGAGTGACCCGATTTTCCAGGTGTGTCCCTCACCCCTTTCTTTGACTCAGAAAGGGAACTCCCTGACCCCTTGCGCTTCCCAGGTGAGGCAATGCCTCGCCCTGCTTCGGCTCGCGCACGGTGCGTGCACCCACTGGCCTGCGCCCACTGTCTGGCACTCCCTAGTGAGATGAACCCGGTACCTCAGATGGAAATGCAGAAATCACCCGTCTTCTGCGTAGCTCACGCTGGGAGCTGTAGACCGGAGCTGTTCCTATTCGGCCATCTTGTGACCAAAATCCACATTTTCTTAATCCAGTCTATCATTGATGGACATTTGGGTTGGTTCCAAGTCTTTGCTATTGTGAATAGTGCCACAGTAAACATACATTTGCATGTGTCTTTATAGCAGCATGATTTATAATCCTTTGGATATATACCCAGTAATGGGATGGCTGGGTCAAATGGTATTTCTAGTTCTAGATCCTTGAGGAATCGCCACACTGTCCTCCACAATGGTTGAACTAGTTTACAGTCCCACCAACAATGTAAAAGCGTTCCTATTTCTCCACATCCTCTCCAGCACTTGTTGTTTCCTGACTTTTTAATGACCACCATTCTAACTGGTGTGAGATGGTATCTCACTGTGGTTTTGATTTGCATTTCTCTGATGGCCAGTGATGATGAGCATGTTTTCATGTGTCTGTTGGCAGCATCAATGTCTTCTTTTGAGAAGTGTCTGTTCATATTCTTTGCCCACTTTTTGATGGGGTTGTTTGTTTTTTTCTTGTAAATTTGTTTGAGTTCTTTGTAGATTCTGGATATTAGCCCTTTGTCAGATTAGCAGATTGCAAAAATTTCTCCCATTCTATAGGTTGCCTGTTCACTCTAATGGTAGTTTCTTTTGCTGTGCAGAAGCTCTTTAGTTTAATTAGATCCCATTTGTCAATTTTGGCTTTTGTTGCCATTGCTTTTGGTGTTTTAGACACATAAAGTCCTTGCCCATGCCTATGTCCTGAATGGTATTGCCTAGGTTTTCTTCTAGGGTTTTTATGGTTTTAGGTCTAACATTTAAGTCTTTAACCCATCTTGAATTAATTTCTGTATAAGGTGTAAGGAAGGGATCCAGTTTCAGCTTTCTACATATGCCTAGCCAGTTTTCCCAGCACCACTTATTAAATAGGGAATCCTTTCCCCATTTCTTGTTTTTGTCAGGTTTATCAAAGATCAGATGGTTGTAGATGTGTGGTATTATTTCTGAGGGCTCTGTTCTGTTCCATTGATCTATATCTCTGTTTTGGTACAAGTACCATGCTGTTTTGGTTACTATAGCCTCGTAGTATAGTTTGAAGTCAGGTAGCATGATGCCTCCAGCTTTGTTCTTTTGGCTTAGGATTGACTTGGCAATGAGGGCCCTTTTCTGATTCCATATGAACTTTAAAGTAGTTTTTTCCAATTCTGTGAAGAAAGTCATTGGTAGCTTGATGGGGATGGCATTGAATCTATAAATTACCTTGGGCTGTATGACCATTTTCACGATATTGATTCTTCCTATCTATGAGCATGGAATGTTCTTCCATTTGTTTGTGTCCTCATTTATTTCCTTGAGCAGTGGTTTGTAGTTCTCCTTGAAGAGGTCCTTCACATCCCTTGTAAGTTGGATTCCTAGGTATTTTATTTTCTTTGAAGCAATTGTGAATGGGAGTTCACTCATGATTTGGCTTTCTGTCTGTTATTGATGTATAAGACTGCTTGTCATTTTTGCACATTGATTTTGTATCCTGAGACTTTGCTGAAGTTGCTTATCAGCTTAAGGAGATTTTGGGCTGAGACGATGGGGTTTTCTAAATATACAATCATGTCATCTGCAAACAGGGACAATTTGACTTCCTCTTTTCCTAATTGAATACCCTTTATTTGTTTCTCTTGCCTGATTGCCCTGGCCAGAACTTCCAACACTATGTTGAATAGGAGTGGTGAGAGAGGGCATCCCTGTCTTGTGCCAGTTTTCAAAGGGAATGCTTCCAGTTTTTGCCCATTCCGTATGATATTGGCTGTGGTTTTGTCATAGATAGCTCTTATTATTTTGAGATACATCCCATCAATACCTAATTTATTGAGAGTTTTTAGCATGAAGGGTTGTTGAATTTTGTCAAAGGCCTATTCTGCATCTATTGAGTGATGCTGGCCTCATAAAATGAGTTAGGAAGGATTCCCTCTTTTTCTATTGATTGGAATAGTTTCAGAAGGAATGGTACCAGCTCCTGTTTGTACTTCTGGTAGAATTCTGCTGTGAATCCGTCTGGTCCTGGACTTTTTTTGGTTGGTAGGCTATTAATTATTGCCTCAATTTCAGAGCCTGTTATTGGTCTATTCGGGGATTCAACTTCTTCCTGGTTTAGTCTTGGGAGGGTGTGTGTCTGCATGAATTTATCCATTTCTTCTAGATTTTTCTAGTTTATTTGCCTAGAGGTGTTTATAGTATTCTCCGATGGTAGTTTGTATTTCTGTGGGATCGGTGGTGATATCCCCTTTATCATTTTTTATTGCGTCTATTTGATTCTTCTCTCTTTTCTTCTTTATTAGTTTTGCTAGCGGTCTATCAATTTTGTTGATCTTTTCAAAAAACCAGCTCCCAGATTCATTGATTTTTTTGAATGGCTTTTTGTGTCTCTATCTCCTTCAGTTCTGCTCTGATCTTAGTTATTTCTTGCCTTCTGCTAGCTTTTGAATGTGTTTGCTCTTGCTTCTCTAGTTCTTTTAATTGTGATGTTAGGGTGTCAATTTTAGATCTGTCCTGCTTTCTCTTGTTGGCATTTAGTGTTATAATTTTCCCTCTATACACTGCTTTGAATGTGTCCCAGAGATTCTGGTATGTTGTGTCTTTGTTCTTATGGGTTTCAAAGAACATCTTTATTTCTGCCTTCATTTCGTTATGTACCCAGTAATTCATTCAGGAGCAGATTGTGCAGTTTCCATGTAGTTGAGTGGTTTCGAGTGAGTTACTTAATCCGGAGTTCTAGTTTGATTGCCCTGTGGTCTGAGAGACAGTTTGTTACAATTTATGTTCTTTTACATTTGCTGAGGAGTGTTCTTCTCAGCACCACATCGCACTTATTCCAAAATTGACCACATAGTTGGAAGTAAAGCACTCCTCAGCCCATTATAAATTTTTAATTCCACTAGTGCTACAAAATCACAAAATCTAGGAAAATAAGCTTTAAATAATATGCCTAACATGATTCTACAGTACTCTTTTTCTAATGTTGTATTCCTGAATACTCTTCAATCTCATTTTCAGTTCGTTTATTTTTAATATTATGATCTGTAGAAGAAAAGTAACTTAGTATTTCCTTTAGCACGGTTGATTGAAATTTGTTTTTATTCTAAATAGTTGGGATAGGCGAAGTGTGTGACTTACTGACGTCCTTCCAGTTTTTAGGAATGGAGCAGGTTTGCACTGCATGTATACAAAATTCTAATCATTGTAATGAGATTCCATCAAAAAAAAAGAAAGTAAATATGTATACACACACACATACACACACACACACGCATATATGGTGTTATAATGGCATTATATAATAATGCACCATTATTATTGAACATTGACCCGACAGAATAGAGGGGTTTTTTGTTTTTAGAGACTAGGCTTTGTTGTGTTGCTCAGGCTGGGGTGCAGTAGTGGCAGGTTGTCTTACTGCAGCCTCAACCTCCTGGGCTCAATCTTCCTGCCTCAGCCTCCTGAGTAGCTGGGACTACATGCCCAGCTGGTGGCTCATGCCACCATGCCTGAGTAATTAAAAAAATGTAGAGATGGAGTCTTGCTATATTATCTAGGCTGAGAATGGAGCTTTTTTAAATCACTAGCCTTTGACAAAGTTCCAAATTCTTGCAGTTTTATAGTTAGAAGAATTCTCCACATGTTAATGCTGGTTTTATACATTTTAAACACTGTTTTCCTTTTATACTGACATATTTCCACTTGCAACCCCAGTGCAAAAGAACCCATTTATGTCACCCTCCAACCTATACCCCTTAGTTACACAATGCAATGCTAAGTGAGTTGGTGCAATGTGTGGTAATAGTAGTAATACCTTGGTTCTCAAAAATGCAGTAGGTTCCCTTATGGGGTGAGAGGATACTGTCAATGAAGTTAGAGTGAAAAGACACTGCAGTTTTACCCAATATTGTATAATTATTGTACTTTTATTATAGATTTTTATATAACCATACAATCACTTTAACACATTACTAGTGTCCCTCTCATAGGACTGAAGGGACATGTACAAGTGAGGGGCTCTGAATTTTAAACTTCATTAACTTCTGCTTTTAAGAATGGGCCAGAGTTTTTTCTTATGTTTTAGTTTGGATTTTTAGAACCATGGCCAGAAATGAGTATCCTTGTGCAAGATATTTTTTAAGTGCTGTCTGGACACAAGGAGTAGAAGTAGTAGGATAGAAAAGATGCATATATCTAAGCAAGAATGAGGTCTTACTTGCCTGAATCCACCCATGGGCAGCTCTAGTGCATGTGCATGAAGTACACCCAGAATTTGTCCATTTTTCTATCCTTTATGCATTCATTGACAGTCATCTGACCCAGTGACAGTGAGTTGTTGGCTGCATTCTCTGAGAAAGGTGGATAACTGATGTGTGAAGCAGGTTCTCTTTCTGGTTATCCCTTTTGATTTCACTCTGTAAAAAAGTCACTATGAACAACCAACAATTAAGAGTGTAGAGTTATTTGTTCACTTATTTTGGGCAGAGTATATGAATATATTATTTGGAATGTTTCTGATTTCTGCAATAGAGAGTTGTCCATTCTTCCTTATTTATTTATTTAAAATATGTATTCATATTACTACTAACTCATGGATATTTATTTATATGACTTGAGGTATTATTGAATTTTATTTATTTTCATGCTTGAATTGTTCCAATTTTGGACACTGGGGGCTCTGTCAGTTGGTTTCTGTGTCCTGTTGATATAACTTTATCCATTTTATCTTGAGTAAGTCTTACTTTATGTCACTATAAAATGCTCATCTTGTACAGTCTTGCCCCATCCTAGATTAAGCCATTTCTCCAAGAATCCCTTTTTCCAAAGCTATAGCTATAGCTTTGAAATGAGAGAAGTTTTGAATGATCTGTGTGGTAGAGGGTTAGAATTGGAAGCAATTAAACTCATTCTGAGCTTAATATAGATACAGATAAGTACATATAGAAATATTTATACATGCATGTATATACAAGGGTTATATACATATATATTGTAGCTCTGTCATCTGAGAGGGCCTAACAGCAATAAGCATACCTATTGCACAATTATTGCAATGTACCATATAGGTATTATATATAACTAAATAATCATTATATATTATACCATAATATATATAGCACCATAAGTAGTGTTACTGGGAATTAATTATATGTGTATATATGTTGTGGGTATATATGTATACACACATAATTAATTCCAAATAATATGATGTGGCTTCTCCATTGCCTTTAAGGACCTCTTCGCTCTCATAAACATGCCTGATCTGTTTTCAAAGTTACACTATCCCCAAACTATCAGTTTAAATATTTTTTTCCTGAACATTACACACACTAAGAGACTCCAGTGATAAATGATGGAAATTTCTACCTACCCACATCCATCACCATTAATGTTTGGACTGCTATTACAGCTAAGATCAAGTGTGCCAATGGTTTATATGCCATGGCATTTAGCATATCTTGACTCAATTCTGTTTTTCAAGTATAGGCAGACACTGTATCAAAAGAGTAGGATAATTTTTTAATAAAATAAATTTTTAAAAACAATTTCTGGTAGAAAAAAATATTCTCCAGCTCCTCAATTGCACTGTGTTACCTTTGTTTCTACTTGTGTCTGGTACACTAGTATGTAAGAGCATAAATTTATTAATCTTTTAATAAATTTATATTTATGTCCTTACTGTCAGCATGAACCATTACTAGGAAGTGTGTGTGTGTGTGTGTGTGTGTGTGTGTGTGTGTGTGTGTAGGAAGAAAAAACTGGGGTGCAATGAATGCCATCATCCCTATTCCTGCATCATTTTCTGCTTTTCTGCAGATGGCTTTCTTTTCCTTTATGCTAGGGTATTTGGGAATGTGTTAATTTTGCATCATTCTGAACATTTTCAGGTCGTAATACCAGCATTTTTAATATTACCGCTGGAAGGCTTAGAAGTGTGTCTTTGCAATGACAAAATACATTGAGAAGCAATTTACATCCTAAATAATTGTGGCTGAATGAAAATGGAGATTGACAAAAAGGTATATCGGATTTTTTTCTTTAATTGAGTAAATTTCCAGTGATTTATTTTGTGCTATTTTTTGATAAGAAGAATGTTTTCCTTGCCAAGCAAATTTGACAGTGTAAAAGATCCAATTTATTGAAAGAAGTTCATGTAATAGCTGCATAGAGAGTGTTGGTCTCCACCCATTTCAGCGCTTTTCTATGACCAGTTCTCCCTCGTGCTCTTCTCTTCTCTATGTTCACATAAACAACACTGCTTGGTACGTAGAGTGCATATAAATGTTGTATATTAAACTAAGGCTGATGAATAGAAGTTCTGGACACATCAACTATACATACTATTTTAAGCTGTCTCAAAATTTTTCTAACTTATACTAAATAATTTAATGTCAGAATTAATTATCACATAGAAGTAGCTCCCTGCTCTAAGCTAGCAGTTAAAAATAGTGCTTTATTTATTTATTTATTTTTGCAAAGAGATTCAAGGAATTGCTAATACTAATATTGGGGTATTTTTTACTTTAATATCTAGGGCAAGCAATCATCTATTTTAAACAACAATTACAAAAATCTATCAGTAGTTCGTATTTTCATTAAAGTATCTTTTACTGGATTTTTTTTATTATACTTTAAGTTTTAGGGTACATGTGCACAACTTGCAGGTTAGTTACATATGTATACATGCGCCATGTTGGTGTCCTGCACCCATTAACTGGTCATTTAACATTAGGTATATCTCCTAATGCTATCCCTCCCCCCTCCCCCCACCCCACAACCATTTTTAAATGTTGCTGATAGTAATAACTGGGATTGTATTAAACTTACTGTGACATAACTGTTCAGAACATCAAGTTTACTCAAAGATTTTTGGGAGAAACACTGAACATTAAAACAAAGTAGGACATAGAGAGTACATGTGCATAAATGTTAAGAATGAATTATGAAGATCTAAGTATGTTTTGACTTTGCACTCTAAGCAGGTGAGGTAGACCATATTGTGCTGTGCTAGCTTTCCATTCCCCCTCCTTACTGCTGAGGGTGCATTCCTGGAACATGTTTGAGGAGCTCTATAGAGGAATGGCCAATTTAAGAAAGCATATTGCAAGCAATATAACCAGCAAAATGGACCACTTATTGAATACAGGCCTAGGCAGCGTGGTTGGTTTATATACAAGTATTGAGTTTAAATATTTCAGACTATGGCCCCAGGGAAGTGTAGTTTGTCAGTGGATGGTTTGCAGCATGAATCTAACCAGGGTATTTTTATTTACAAAAAAAAAATTTAAAAACCTTTGGGCTAGAAATGAAAAACAAATCGCACACATACACTGTGCTTATACATGAAGAATTTCATTTAATCTGATAATACTGTTCATAGAGCCTATGCTGACAAGTTTTATGTTTATGTAAAAGTAATTTCAGTTTTTGCCATTGACAGTAATGGCAAAAACTGCAATTACTTTTGCATCAACTTAATACTATATAAATAAATCTAGAATATAGCTACTTTCCTATTAAGAAGTAAAACTTTTTAAAAAATAGCTTATTTCCTAATTAACTTTAATATTCATTCTGTACTTTTATTTTTCTAAAATATATATTCTATATAAAAATTCTGCATATTTCTATGTACAGTGCATAAGGAAATAAATCCATCATTTCAAAGAGCATTTGTTTGCACAGAAAATACTAATATTAAAGATGTAACAAGAAAATACTACTCTAAATGTATGAAAAAGAAAAACTCATGAACAATATATTTCTCTTAATGTAGAGTTTGCAGAAATACCTATTAACTCCAATTTCCAAATGTCTATTACTTATTGCTTCTGAATAATTATTCATTAGTATTTTTGTATTTTTCCTGTTTTAAAAATAATTTTTACAGACCCTCTGCCTTTTTTTAAAGGCTATTCCATCTTTGGGGAGTTCTTTAGCCAAAGTCTTCCATGGAAAACAATGTTAGGAAGAATTTGTGGAGAAGATACAGAATGTATAGATCTCTGTAATACACCAGTGGTTTTGATATATCCTTATCCTCTCTGGAATGCAGAGTAGGTAGGAAAGAATCTACTCTTTTCATGTCTTTTGATGTAAACACTCTGATTTAATTGCATCTAATTGGACATTTCAGTCAAATTGCAATTTCAATTTCCTGAGTCATCTTCAACATCTATGACATGACATGCAGAAGTAAAAAATTATCAGATTTAGTGCTATTTTATTGTTAGAAATAGCTTTCAGAAGTACATCAGTCAAGTGTGTATTTCTGCTTGAATGTGTGTGTGTTTCCACTCCAAAGGCTTAAGAAGGTTGTTACTTCCAATTAAGTAGAAAAATGTGAAAAGATATGATGTTATAATTAGCTATTAAATTTAACTGCTATAATTAAATAAAATTAATTATGTGATTTTAAAGTAGCAAGTGAAGAAATTAGCCATAAAAGGTCAATTTTACATAACAAAATATAAAATTAGTCTTCTACATTTACTTAAATTTTAGAGCATTAGTGAGGTTATCACCTAAGAAAAATTATTTTTAGAGGCCCACAATTTTTTAAAGTCTTACGAATATTCAATGTATTCAAAAAAATGAGCAAAGTGAATTTTTTAAGGGTAAAAGATCCTAAGTTTTATAAAAATGATTATTTTTGAAATATTTCCTTAAGTATAAAGGTACCAGATAGTCCTGTTTATATTGATACATTTCTTCCATTTCTTCAACAACTATTTAGCATTTAACCAACATTTATTTATTTTTAGATTCATTTATTTTTTGAGACAGAATCTTACTCTCTTGCCCAGGTTGGAGTGCAGTGGCATGATCATGGATCACTGCAGCTTTGACCTTCTGGGCTCAAGTTATCCTCTGACTTCAGCCTCCTGAGTAGCTGGGACTACAGGCACCTGCTGCCACCATGCCTGGCTAATTTTCTTTTCTTTTATATATTTCTTTCTTCTTCTTCTTCTTTTTTTTTTTTTTTTTGGTGGAGATAGAGTCTTGCCATTTTGCCCAGACTGGTCTCAAACCCCTGGGAGCAAGTGATCCTCCTACCTCGGCCTCACAAAGTGCTGTGATTGATTACAAGTGTGAGCCACTGTGCCCAGCCTTTAAGAAACATTTATAGAACACCTCCTTATCTTCTAGTAATGTATCAAGGAGATGTAATATTAAACAGAACAGACATGTTTCCTGAACTCATGGGAATAAAGGCATGATCAAAATAAATAACATAAATGCAAATAGTATAATGCTATAATGGATTGTTTTTAGAATGCTCTATTTGAATATGACAGAGGGTTTTTAGGGTGGTCTGGGAATGCCTTTCTGAGAAAATGAGACACAAGTTGAAAAATGGGGTCAACCAAACATCCAACCATGAAATGTGTGAAGAGAATAACAGAGCCATGCAAAGGGTCAGTTTGGAATTGTTAAATTTGAAAACTATATTGGAAGTCCGAAGCAGAAGTTTGAACTGTCAGGCGAGACCTTTGAGCATGTTGATTGCATTCAAAATGTAAAAATGTATTAGAATAATTATGGCAAGAATAATTAGAAAAATTGTGGCATATACACACATATGTACATACATACATATGCATACATATATTTATGTGTGTAATATACACACACAGATGTACGTACACACATCTGTGTGTGTATATATGTAATGTGTGTAATATACACACATATGTAAAACAAACAACAACTTGTGCCCAAAAAGACCTGAGGGAAAAGAACCCAAAATTTGGACACTTGCATAGTTAAATAAAATTAAGAAGTAGAGAAAGGATGCAGGAAAGGATGTAGAAGTAGAGAAGTAGAGAAGGATGTAGAAGTAGAGAAGGATGCAGGAAAAAAATAAAAGATAATATTTGAATAACAGAGAACATAATTCAATTCAGAGTGTTATAAGGACTCAAAAGATGTATTTTAGTTTGTATGCTTAGTTTTTATGGAATGCAGTTTCACAACACTTTTCTGAAATCTTTGGGACAGATATAATTCAGAAACTTGAATTGGTCAGGTGTCAAGTTAATAATACGCTTTATAAGCTGTGTATCATGAAACACCTTTAATGAGTCTAAAGTAACACTCTAATAAAATGTATTAATATTTCAGCAACAAAATGTAAAGATATTCATTCTAAGTAAGATAAAGAATGTAAGTGACTTTGCATTAATTCAGATCTGGTTTGAAAGCTTTTTTTTTTTCCTTTTTAGATCTTATCAGTTTTTCTGTTTTGGAAGTTGAGGAAGACGTGTTATATTCCTATATTAGAAGATCTATTTATGCTGATTAATATGAGCCAGAAGAGAAAAGGGATGGATGATGCAGAAGACACATAGAGATCTGATAAAGTGAAAATTCTTACAGTGGCAAAAAGATGGGTTTCAGTATGCTTTTGTACATTAGGGAACTCATTTTCCTCTGGGTGGTTAAAAGATTGCCAAGGAGAATTTTAGCATCGACAGTTTTAAAGGAATCAATTTTCAGCAACTCAATTTTCATGTGAACTTTTCTAAAGCGATGTCGCTGAAAAATTTATCTATACTCAGGATACACTTTTTTGTTCCCAAAAGAATGGCATCATTCAAAATCTTAATGTAGTGCATTATCCTGTGGTGGATTACTTCTGGAGTAACAAATAGCAAGGCTATCTAACGATAATTCAATATTTCAGTCTAAAGTTTCTCATTCTTCATGTTCCATCTACATTTCTCTCTCTCTCTCTTTCTCTGTCTGTCTATCTATCTATCTATCTATCTATCTATCTATCTATCTAATCTATCTATCTACCAATCTATCTACCTTTCTATCTATCATCTATCTGATCTATCTCTAGTAAAGTGAAGCCTGGCATTTAGAAAAGTGGCGTATTCATCCATGTTGAGGTGTTGTGAGTTAAGATATAGGTAGGAATAAAATGGAAAACACTTTCCTTAAATATATTTTATATTCTCCTACTATTGATTCCTTTACAACTATTTCAATTTAAGAAGAAAAATGTCAGATAGTGTGATATGAATCATGTTTGAGAAATATTTCCTTGAGAGTTTGACTAGTGCAACAAAAAATATCTGTAAGGGACAATGAATGTTAAAAATGGTTTTATTCCTGTGCTCGAGCAAAACCTACTCTTTTTATGTATTCTCAATTTTCAGCCCTAGAATGTGTTATTAACTTGAAAGAAAAACTCTCCCAAAGATCTAAAAGTTATGCTGATTTTTTAGAAATAACTAAAGGTTTTCAAGACTACCAAAATTTCAAGCTACATGGGACAATTACCAATGTATGGTGTGTGAGGGGAAGACTGTAGTAAGTTTAGATGTCACTGAATATTTTTCACTAAGGGATTTAAAGCATTTTATACTATACAAAACAATAAAATGTCTATTTTATTTTCAGTGAATTTATTTTTCTTGGAAAAATATTTATTAAATTCTACCTCATTAAGAAACAAATATCACAAGCATTTATAGATTAACAGTATATTGATTTGTTTCCTAACTAAATATATCTTTCTCATTCAATACATCTACAGGAAAAGTTTATTATAAGTCTAATTTTATCTATAGAAAAATATGATTTTTTGCCTACTATTCAATTACTTCCAAAATTAGAAACAAATTAAATATATGCTCAAGTAATGATGTGTGCACAAATATATACATATAGAAAAACAATCAATGACTTTAATCCTATCTTTCTTTTCTCATTTTAGGCACACATCATGCAAAATTATTTGTTTTAATAATGTCAAACAATATTTCTCAGGTTTATGTAAAACATTACTAGAATTATTATTTATATTATATCTAAGTGGTTTCAATATTGCTAGATTTTAATTATTCATCATATAATTTTTGCTCTAGAATTCATTTCTTGTTTTTAATAAGCTCCTTTTAAAATGGGCCTACCCTTCCTTAATTGTTTTTTTTTTTTCACTGTCATGCCCACCTTTCAGTGGTGCCTTTGTTTTAGCCTTTTTTGCATACTCACAAACCAATCAATCAGCATACACTTTCCCATTCCGAGCCTATAAAAGCCCTGGACTCAGTCGCACTTTGGGATTGCCTGCCTTTGGGCAACGGGGGCAGCTACCCGACTTTGGGTAAAGTAGGGGTTGCCCTCTCCACAATATAACAAGTATATTAAAATAAATTAATTGGGCTGGGCATGATGGCTGACTCCTGTAATCCCAGCACTTTGGGACGGCATGACAGATGGATAATTTGAGCCCAGGAATTCCAGACCAACCTAAGAAACATGGTAGAACCCCATCTCTACAAAAGAAAAAAAAATTAGCTGATCATGGTGGTGTGTGCGTGCCTGTTGTCCCAGCTACTCAAGAGGCTGAGACGGGGGTATCACTTGAGTCCAGGAGGTTGAGGCTGAAGTGAGCTGTGATTGTACCACTACACTCTTGCCTGGGCAAAACAGCAAGACCATATACCAATCAATCAATCAATCAATCAATCAATTTAGTCATTTTGTGTTAGAAAGCAGCTTTGTTTTAGATGAAGTGTTTGAGGTTTGGTAGCTATGGCCCATATGTTGAATGGGTTAAATAGAAAATTCCAGGTTTGATAAAAGTATATTTATAGCACACAAAATACAATAATATTTAATAAAAAGATTTTAATAGTATATAATGTAGTACAAAATATTTCGGTTGAACTAAAATTTATTGTTGATTGGTTTCAACATGCACCTTTGAGTGACAGAGCTATGTAAAAAACATTTTGAAAGTCTCAGTAAATCAGTTTGGGAAATTTTCCAGAATTCCTAAAAGAGGATAATTCTAATCATTAAAAAAAAAAAAAGTCTTTGAGGTGAAATGGTGTCCAATTATTTGCATTCAAAAAAATTAAGGACCTAATTATGTCATAAGCTGATAGAACATGAGAAATAACATTTGATGATAGATCACCATGTGAATTTTATTGTATAACTAAAAAGTGTATTTAAATTATTGACTAACATTCATATAATACATAGCCCCTTGTTTAATTATGTATATGTGTATAGAAATATGTTTGTGACATGTATAGAGTTTGTTAACATTTATAGATATTGAAAAACAGATCATAAATTGTAACAGTTTTATCAATGGCAGTGTCACATTATTTCAAGGATGCATGAAACATGAACCACTTGGAAAATAATAACCACATTCATCTTTTTACAATGTGAATTTCCAATAAAATATTATGTTTAACAACTGTTTACTAAATTGCAATTTAGCTATGCTGTTTTGATAAATTGTGAGTTAATAAGAATAAATCAATACATCTTTTTACCTCAATCTTGAGGTAAAAAAGACAAATCAATTCACAAATTTTCAACTTATATTCATTCAACTTATATGTTACATGGGAAAATATTTTATATTCACATACCATATTCCTTGTAAATACACATATACAAATTAATTTGTTGAAAAAGTATAGAATTCCATTGAGAAAGTGAAAGTGAAATGTATATATACAAGTTTTATGAGAAAAATGGTGCAAAATATAGGAATGTTAAAGAAAATGCCTCATACAGTTTTCAAATACATAATAATTAGTATAAAATTATATCACTGAAATTTCACTGTACATTTTTAAAAGATATTTAGTTTTAAAAAATATATCAATATTGTTAATATCTCATAAATATCACTTTCTCAACTATTTAAACCCATAGTGAAACACTTAAGATATCAACTTAAAATATCTAAGTGGGATTTTCTAAATTAAGATGTTATGTGAGCAAAAAATACTTTTGCCTATAGTGGGGGACTGATCTTAGAACTGATAGCAGCAGAAGGCAGACAAACCCTAGGCAGATAGGGATGGGCCCCCTGTGAAACTCCACCTACAACCCAAAGACAGTTTAAAGCCTGAACGCCAAGCTACAAATCTCAGATAAATCCACAGACCAGATTGACAACCTCTCTTCCCATTTGGTGCACTTTCCTCTGATTGATCCCCACCTTTCACCAATTTTACCTGCACATACCCTTCTTTGTTTTTTTTTACACTGTCATGCCCACCTCTGAGTGGTGCCTTTGTTTTAGCCTTTTTTGCATACTCACAAACCTATCAATCAGCATGCACTCTCCCATTCTGAGCCTATAAAAGCCCTGGACTCAGCCACACTTTGGGATTGCCTGCCTTCAGGCAACAGGGGCAGCTTCCTGACTTAAGGTGGAGTAGGAGATTGCCCTCTCCATATCCCCTCTCTGCTGAGAGTTGTTGCTCAGTAAAACTCTCTCCCCTGTTCACCCTTCAGCTATCAGCATAACCTCATTCTTCTTGGATGACAGACAAGAACTCAGGACCCATAGAATGTAGGTATGAAAAAGGCAGTAACACTGTAGTCCTCTGTCCTCCATTGGTGCTTGGCAGCCACCCCATGCAATGGGAAGCTGCAGTGAGGCTGGGCCAGCCCCAGAGCTGCAGGCTGGAGTGGGGGCCACAGGACTGAAAGAGCTATTAGCACACTCCCATTAGCCAGGCTGCAAATGGTGGGACTGAAAGGGCTATTAACATGCTGTAACATCTCCTTTGGAGCTTTGGAGTGCTGGCATACCTGTTCAGCCACCATGTGATTCCCTCATCTAGATGCTGGTGCACAGGGCGGAGGCAGGTCGGGGCATGCCTGGCCCAGCTGCTGGCTGAGTGCAGATTCTGTGGTAAGCATGGGATCTGGGCAGAAGTGTAAGCCAGGTGCAGTGCTTTGGGCCAACTGGGCATGGTGCTTCCTGTGGCAAGCCCAGGGCTGACTGAGGCCCAGGCAGGGTCATTGCCAGCCACTGAAGTCTCTGGCTGGCGAAGGGGCACCAAAAAATCTTGTGTCAGAAGTAAAGATAATTCTTCCACTGTATCTGTAGAGAGGAAGTTTAGATGTAGACTCCAGTAAGATCGATGATTTAATTTGGTTAAAATGAGAGGGCTCCTTTTCTGAGGGCATTAATTTCTCAAATAAGTATTATATATTATATGCAAATTCACTCCAGATTCCCCATGAACATATTATATAAAGCAGGGGAGAAGCATAGAATAGGTTTTAATTTCATAGAGAAATATTATTGTCTTGACATTTGTCTTTGTGTCTTATATTCCCAAATCTTAATCTCATAGTGGAAAGAATAGTAAATAAAGCTGATGATAATACAGAAGTGATGGTGGTCATAAAGTGAGCTGAATCAATGTATCCAAAACACTAGAACTCTGTGTCTGTGTCGTTTTTACAAACCATTTATTACAACTCTACCTCAATGTTCTCACTTGTCATACAAAGTATGCTCTCAAAACAATGTGACTCCAAATATGTGAGTGTTTGGAGTAGTAGTAATTGGCTTAATTCTAGAGATGTTGAAATATTATAGGCTAGAAAATAGGAAGGCTATTCATAACTTAGAAAGAAACAATGTGCCACAAGATTAAGATCTGAAAAAGGAATACACACACACATGCATGCACATACACACGTGTGTATATAACAACATGTGAGACTTTTTCTGAGGAAGTGTTTCGAATCAGAATAGAAGAAATGGAGTCATCAGAAGACATATGATATTTGTAGCAAACTTAAAAGTAGCATTGCATTGCTTAGGGATAAATGCATTTATAACAAGCCTACAAAGCATACCAAAGTTACACAAGAACACCAATTGAGAGTAATAGTTACTTCTTAGAGGGAAGGGAAGATGAGATACAGATGAGTAACTCAGGCACAGCTTGAGTGATTACAAGGATGTATTATATTTTAAGGTAGATAGTGGGAAAATAAATATATGTTTTATTAATAAATGTAAATTAATGTGCTGTCTTTATCAATATGTCTATGTCATGTACTTCATCTTTTAAAAAACTGAAAACATAGTTTTCAGTCCATAGTTCATCCTTTGTACCATAGTCCATGCTTCACTACAACTTTTCAGTTTATGAACTCTCACGCAGATTGAGCTAATATTTCTCCAAAGGCACTGTTTACACTATTTGATCTAAACAAATCTACTGATAAAAAGCAATGACTTGCTTAATTGTCCAAAGCCAGGTAACTGGTTTGAACACATCTCTTTTTGAGCAGATTTGGTGTTATGGTCTTCTACCGACATGGTATGATTACTAAGTCAGGAACGAGGTGCAGACGTGTAAAAATTTAGTTATAGTGGGTGAAATTCTGGTTAGTGGCCCAGGAAGATTAATCCACCTTTTCCCCATTAAATAATTACCAGAAGATAAGATAGACATTATAGAGAATACAGACTATGATACAATGCTTTATTTTCAAGTAAATAATAAAGCTATTTTTGGTATTATTGGCACTTCTGTATTTTGGAATGAAAAGAGCCTATTTATTTAAAAGTGAAGAGTATATGCTCTCAGCCATTTTTCCAGAATCACTTTCTCTTTATTCTCTTTTTGTCTTTCTTTTTTTGTGCTATACTTCCTAAATGTAAATATCATAATGGGTTCTGCTGTATACACTTAAATAACAAAGAAAATTATTTTCCATCTAAATGAAGCAGGCTCTTTGGGACTCTAATTCTTCCCAGATTCCTCTTTGTACATTAAGTTGACTTTTCAAGTAAAATATACCACATGTACCAAAGCTCTGACGTCTACTGCTACATGTGTTTCTTCAAAGACAGCACCTCACTTGTTGATCTCTTTGCCATTCTGATGCTGTCCCAGGATCCTTTCTATTGGTCTTTTTGAACATCCTTTGAAGTGCCACATGTAACTGAAGAAAGTCCTGGGATGCATCAGCACATTACTAATTCCAGCTGCAAGCAAGCTTCCTGCTGGAGCTTAGGAACTGGAAAGAGATCATAATATGCCATCCATCTTGTTAAAATAAGGGCAAAAAGAAAGTTGTTAAAGGAAAAAATTTAAGGGAGATGACTCTCAAAATAACCTGTATGCAACTAATCTAAAGGGATCTGTCACAATCAGTTGAATTTAGTATTAGCTACTGTATTCTTATAGCAAATATCAAACAAAATAATGACTCTGAATCACTGGTTTTAATGCACATCAGGATGTTTGCTCCTTTTGTTCTTTACAAATCTCATCTCACCATCACCTTTACTTCACTTTTGGATATAGGATAAATATATATTTTTAGAACGCATTCTTGAAAATAACAAAAACAGCAAACCTCTGTAGGTTGCATATTAAAAAAAAATAGCCAAACATTAGCACCGTTAGTACCTGCTGATGTTTGTGAAGTTAGTAGGCAGGCTGGTCCTTAGTGTGATGAAAGAAACATTTTCAAAATCAAGCTAACAAAATGATCAACATACTGTGTTCATGTTCTACTTGGCCAAAGCCCAGATAATTCTGTTGAATTATATAGTGTTTGATTTGGAGTGCCTGCTTCTCTTCTTACTGTCTTTATTCTAGTTATACAAAAGTGCTGTCACAAAGTTTAATTTCTTTTAATGCAGTAAGTATGTAAATTGATCATGTGAATTCATATTCAAGTTCCTCCTACCACTCTTAAAAGGATTTTATTGTGGGGAAGGTGAATGCAGATTTATTGTCTTTGTCAAGCTCATTTTCCTTCAAAATAAAATTGCTCACTTTTATTTCTTAGTTTTTCTTTGTCATTTTAGATGTTCACAGAAATCTGGACCACTTCAAATCCCCATCTTAGAACTCTTCATCATAGCCCATTGTTGGAGGAACTAGAAACATCTTGTGAGCCATGCTCTGGTTTTGATTACAAAGTTTTGGACCTCTTTAATCTTAGTACATAGCTATCCTAAAGACATATTACCTTCTCTATCAGTCTGAGGATTCCTATTTTCTAACTCCTGTATTACAGGTTCCATTTTGGGGTGTTGTGTATTCTGTTTCATGCCTGTCTTGGAAAATAAATCTTCCAAGAGTTTGCTCTGAAAGGATCTGTTTGAATTAATTTGTGTGTGATCATGTATAAAAAGCCTTTATTCCACTGGGCGCGGTGGCTCACACCTGTAATCCCAGCACTTTGGGAGGCCGAGACGGGTGGATCACGAGGTCAGGAGATCGAGACCATCTTGGCTAACACAGTGAAACCCTGTCTCTACTAAAAATACAAAAAATTAGATGGGTGTGGTGGTGCGCGCCTGTAGTTCCCGCTACTCGGGAGGCTGAGGCAGGGGAATGGCGTGAACCCGGGAGGTGGAGCTTGCAGTGAGCTGAGATCGCGCCACTGCCCTCCAGCCTGGGCAACAGAGCGAGACTCTGTCTCAAAAAAAAAGTAATAATAATAATAAAAAGCCTTTATTCTACACTCTCAGCTGATTAATTGATAGTACAGATGAGTTTAAAATAATAAATTGTAAAGAATTTCACTTCAGAAATTTTTATTTGCTTAAAAAATACATAACATAATACGTATCATCTTGACTTTTTTGAAGTGCACAGTTCAGTAATGTTAAGTATATGCAAATTACTGTGAAATAGTTGTCTGCAATTATTTTAGCTTGAAAATCTGAAACTTTATACCCGTTAAGAATAAACAACTCATCTTTCCCCTCTTTCCCCAGTCACTGGTAAGCACCATTCTACTTTCTGTCTCTATATATTTGACTACTTTAGATATCTCATATATGTGGAATTGTACAGTATTTATCTTTTTGTGTTCTACTTACTTCACTTAGCATAATGTTTTTAAGGTTCATCCATGTTGTAGCATCTCACAAGATTTCCTTTGTTTCTAAGGCTTGATAATATTCTGTTACATGCATATACCACATTTTGTTTATCCAGTCATCTGCTAATCAACATTTGAGTTACTTCTATCACTTGGCTATTGTTACTAGTGTTATCATTAATATGGGTGTGCAAATATACTTTGAGACCATGCTTTCAAAAATGTTTTGGATATATGCCCAGAAGTAAGATTGCTGTTTCATATAGTAGTTCTATTTTAAATATTTTGAGAAAACTCCATGTTGTTTTTCACAGCAGTTGCACCATTTTGCAATTCACCAAGAGTACACAAGTGTACTAATTGCTCCACATTCTTGCCGATTTTTTTCTGGATTTTTCTTTTGTTTTGTTTGGTTTTTGTTTTTTATTCTTATAGTAGATATCCTAATGGATATGAAGTGCTATCTCATTGTGATTTTGGTTTGCATTCCTCTGATGAGTAATGATGTTGAACATTTTCTCATATACTTGTTGATCATTTGCATATTATCTTCAGAGAAATGCCTATTCAAGTTTTTGAACCACCATTTTTTAAATTGGGTTACTTGAGTCTTTTATTGTTGAGATGTTGTTTCTAACAAATTCTGAATATTAGTCCCTGAGCAGATATATTATTTGTAAATACTTTCTCTCATTCCATAGATTATCTTTTATTCTGTTAATTCTATCATTTGATACACAAAAGTTTAATGGAGGTCCATTTGTCTATTTTTATTTTTATTGCCGGAGGTTTTGGTGCTATATATATTCACTGCCAAGTCTAATGTTAAGGAGCTTTTCCCCTAGAAATTTCATAGTTTTAATTTTTATGTTTAGGGTTTTAATTTATTTTGAATTAAATTTGGTATATGATGTGAAGGAAGAGTCCAACTTCATTCTTTTACATGTAGTATACAGTTTTTCCAACACTAATTCATCAATAGATTTTCCTTTCCCTATTGAATGGTCTTGGTATCTTTGTCAAATCATTTTACCACATACGAGTAGCTTTATTTCTGGGCTTTCTGTTTTATTCTATTGGTCTATTTGTCTTTATGTCAGTACAATACCTTTTTGATTACTGCAGCTTCATAATATGTTTTGAAATCAGGAAATATGAGCACTCCAGCTTAGTTACTCTTTTTCTTGTTTTGGCTAATTTGGGCCCCACAAAATTCCAAATAAATATTTGGTTAACTTTTTCCTTTTTTGCAAAAAATTGCTGTTGAGAAATTGATTGAGGTTGTATTGACTCTGTAGATTGCTTTGGATACTATGGACATCTTAACTATGTTAGTGTTCCAAGCCATGAACCTGGTATATCTTTCTATATATTTGTGGCTTCTGTAATTTCTTTTAAAAATATTTTGTAGATTTCAGCACACAAGTCTTTCACCTTCTTGGTTAGATTTACATGTAAGTATTTTTTTTCTCTGTTGCTCTATTACAATAAAATAGTTTTGTTAATTTCCTTTACTGATTGATGACTATTCATGTACAGAAATGCAACTGATTTCTTCATGTTGATTTTGCACCTGGCAATGTTGCTGTATTTGTTTATTAGTTCTAACAGGTTTTGTTGTTGTCGTTGTTGTTGTTGTCATTATTGTTGGGGAGGAGTGTTTCTTTCTAATTTCCTACTTATAAGATTGTGCTATCTATGAACAGAGATAATTTTACTTCTTCCTTTCCAGTTTAGATGTCTTTTATTTCTTTTTCTTGTCTAATTGTTATGGTTAGAATTTCCCATAGTATGGTGAATAGAAGTGGCGGAGTGGGAATTCTTGCCTTGTACCTAATGTTGGAGGAAAATCCTTCAGTCTTTCCCATTGAGTATGACGGTTGTGGGTTTTTCATAAATGGCCTTCATCCTGTTGAAATTGTTTCCAGTTATCTGTAGTTGGTTTTTATCATGAAAGGGTGTTGAATTTTGTCAAATGCTTTTTCTGCATTAATTGACATTATGATGCGGATTCTTTTTCTTCATTATGTTTGTGTGTATTACAGTGATTGATTTTTGTATCTTGAAACACCTGTGCATTCCAGGAATAAATCCCACTTGGTCATGGTGTATAATCCATGTAATATGCTGCTAAATTGGGCTTGCTAACATTTTATTGAGGATTTTTGCATCAGTATTTCTAAGGAATATTGGTCTCTAGATTTCTTTGCTTGCAGCATCTTGGGCTTTGGTATCAAGGTAATTCTGACCTTATATAACAAACTTGCTAGTGTTTCTGTTTAAACTTGTTAAAGAGTTTGAGGAGAATTGGTGTTAATTCTTCCTTAAATGTTTGATAAAATTATTCAGTAGAGCCATCTGGTCCTAGCTTTTCTTTGTAGGGAGATCTTTGGCCATTGATTCAATCTCCTTACACATTATTAGTCTGTCCAGATTTTTTATTTCTTCTTGATGCAGTCTTGGTAGGTTGACTGTTTCTAGGAATATACTCATTTCTTTTAGGCTATTCAAATTATTGGCATACAATTGTTTATGACATTCTCCGATTGTCCATTTTATTTTGGTGGCATCTGTTATATTATCTCCTCTTTCATTTCTGAGGTTTTTTTTTTTTTTGAGTCTTCTCTCTTTTTTTCTTAGTTAATATAATTAAGGGTTTGTCAATTATGTTTATATTTTTAAAAACTCTTAGTGTCATTGAATTTTTAATTGTTTTTCTACTCTCAATTTTGTTAATCTCTGTTCTTTATTGTTCCCTTCCTTCTGATTTTTGGAAGTTTTGGGTTCAGTTTATTCCTCTTTTTCTAGTTTCTTAAGGAGTAAATTTAGGTTATTGATATTAGCTCCCTTTTTGTATACATTCACAGTTATAAACTTTCCTCTTAGTACTATTTTTACTTCATTCCATAATTTGCTATGTTGCATTTTCCTTCTCATTTGGCTAATTCACCAAGAAGATAGAATAATCGATGTATTTTACAACTTTCCTTGTGTCTTTTTCCTTGACTTTTTGGTCATTGAAGAGTATGTTGTTTAATTTCTACGTATTTGTGGATTTTCCCATTTTCTTTATAATATTGACTTTTAGTTTTATTTTATAGTTATTGTCAAAAATACTTTATATGATTTCAATTTCTTTTGAATTTGTGAAGACTTGTGTTGTAGCCTAACATGTGCTCTCTCCTGAAGATTGTTCCATAGGCACTTGAGAAGAATGTCTATTTTGGTGGTGTTTAGAGGAGTGTTGTGTGTATCTGTGTTACATCCAATTTGACTGTAGTATTGTTCAATTTCCCTATTTTTTTCTTTTTCTAATTTTTATTTATTTATTTATTTATTTATTTATTTTTTTTTTTGAGATAGAGTCTTGCTCTGTCGCCTAGGTTGGAGTGCAGTGGTGCGATCTTGGTTCACCGCAACTTCTGCCACCTGGGTTCAAGTGATTCTCCTGCATCAGCCTCCCGAGTAGCTGGGATTACAGGCATGCACCACCACGCCCGCCTAATTTTTTTGTGTTTTTAGTAAAGACGGGGTTTCAGTATCTTGGACAGGCCAGTCTTGAACTCCTGACCTCGTGATCCACCCATCTTGCCCTCCCAAATTGCTGGGATTACAGGTGTGAGCCACCGCACCCAGCCAAATTCCCCTATTTTTTTCTTTATCTTCTGTTTTATTTATCTGCTATTGAAAGTGTAGTATTAAAATCTCCTACCATTAGTATGCTGCTGTGTATCTCCAACTTCAGTTCTGTCAAAATAGTTTCATATGTTTAGGTCTAGTATATAAATATTCATAATTGTTGCATCTTCTTGGTGAAGTAACTCTTTTATTGTTATATAATATCATTTTGTCTGTTATAAAAATGTTTGATTTAAATCTATTTTTGTCTGATGTAGCTTCTCCTGGTATCTTTTGGCTATCATACAAATAGATCGATTTTTCCCAACTTTTTGCTTTCAAGCTATGTGTGTCCTTAGATCTAAAATGAGTCTCTTGTAGACAACATATACTTGGATACTGTTTTTGTTTTCATTTTTTGAAATCCACTCAGCCAATCCACAATTTTTGTTTGGGAAGCCTAATCCACTTAAATTTAAATTAATTACTATTAGAGAAAGACTTACCCTTGCCATTTTGTAAATTGTTTTCTGTAGATCTTATAAGCTTTTTGTATCTCCTTTTATCTCTTACCGTCATCCTTTATGATTCATTGATTTTTTTGTAGCGCCGTACTTTGATATCCTTTTCATGTCCTCTTCTGTATGTTCAAAGACATTTTCTTTGTGGTTACCATAGCAATTACATAAAATATCTTAAAGTTATACCAATATATTTTAAACTGAAAACAACATTCAAAAACTCTTCCCTTTAACAGCTGTACCCCCACATATTATGTTATTCATGTCAAAATTACATCTTTATATCTTATGTACTCACTTTCATACATTTCTCATTTTTAATGCTTTGCTATTTATATTATATACACCAAAATTACTGTAGTATAGGTTACTGTATTTCTCCATTTGTTTAATTTTCCCAGAGAATCTTATATTTCATATGACTTTATGTTGCTCTCCACTGCACTTTCATTGCAACTTGAAAGACTCCCTTTAACATTTCTTTTAGAGAAGGTAACATGATAACAAACACTTTTGGCTTGATTATGTAGAAAAGTCTAAGTTTTTTTTTTTTTTTTGAGACCGAGTCTCGCTTTGTTGCCCAGGCTGGAGTGCAGCGGCCTGATCACAGCTCACTGCAAGCTCCGCCTCCCAGGTTCATGCCATTCTCCTGCCTCAGCCTCCCGAGTAGCTGGGATTACAGGTGCCCACCACCACACCCAGCTAATTTTTTTCTTTTTTATACTTTTAGTAGAGACAGGGTTTCACCATGTTGGCCAGGCTGGTCTCAAACTCCTGATCTCAGGTGATCCACCTGCCTCGGCCTCCTAAAGTGCTGAGATTACAGTCATGAGCCACCGCGCCTTGTCAGATACAATATTATGTTTTGACAGGTTTATTTTTTTTCTAACAGCTTTTTGAATATATTATTTCACTCCCTTCTGGCCTACAATGTGTTTGCTGATAAGTTTACTGATAATCTTATGGAAGTTCCCTTTTATGTGATGAATCATAATTTAGAAAGTAACTTTCCAGAATACTGTAGTGGGATATAGTCATCCAGTGTCATAAACTGGAAAGGGAACACATGAATCTAACTTCTTTTTAATCAAAAATCACTCAAGTCTCCTTACTTAACACAGTTCCCTCAGACCAATGGCAGAGATAACTGTCTGTGTTGTTTCTGGAGCCTTCTGAGGATACTTTATTGTAAATTGGGCTTGCAGCTTTATCCACTACTATGATAACACTGTCTTAATCATCTACTAACCAACTTTCAAATTTTGTTGCTATTATCATATCTCTTGTTCTTCATTATTCTTCTGGGTTATTATTTTTAATTTAATTTTCATTATTTTATTTGGGATTATAAAGGAGATATAAGCATCTATAGAATTAGTTATCTTAAGTGTTAATATTTCCATGTAGACTCAAGTGAGGACTTTTTTTTACAACTCAATATTATTTTCTATGGTGTCAATAAAATATATTATGTATTTCATTTCCAGGGTCTCTATTATCAGTTCATTACCAAAAAGAAGCCATTTAGTTAAAACATTCTGATTACCACTCTAGTTCTTCTTTCTATTAAGTGGTCTAGGACCACTGTTTTAGTTTGGATTGATTGATTGATTGATTGATTTTATGCTATAAAGAACTGACTGAGACTGGATAATTTATAAAGGAAAGAGGTTTTGGCTCCTTGTTACTTTTGCAGATTTCTGTAGCCTGCTTGAATTTCTCCTCAGAAAATGGGGTTTTCTTTTCTATTTCATTGTCAGACTGAAAATTTTCCAAACTTTATGCTCTGCTTCCTTTTAAACATACATTCCAATTCCAAACCATCTCTTTGTGAATGCATAAAACTGAATGCTTTTAAGAGCACCCAAGACACTTCTTGGATGCTTTGCTTCTTAGAAAGTTCTTCCACCAGATACCGTAAATCATCTCTCTCAAGTTCAAATGTCCACAGATCTCCAGGGCAGGGGCAAAATGCCACCTGTCTTTTTGCTAAAGCATAGCAAGAGTCACCTTTGTTCCAGTTCCTGACAAGTTCATCATCTCCATTTGAGAACACCTCAACCTGGATTCATTTTCCATATCACCATCAGCATTTTGGTCAAAGCCATTCAACAAGTCTCTAGGAAGTTCCAAACTTTTCTACATTTTCCTGTCTTCTGAGCCCTCCAAACTGTTCTCAACCTCTGCCTGTTACCCAGTTCCAAAGTCGCTGTGACCTTTCTAGGTATCTTTATAGCAGCACCCTACTCTCTGCGGTACCAATTTACTGTATTAGTTTGCTTTCATACTGCTATGAACAGCTGCCTGAAACTGGGTAATGTATAAAGGAAAGAAGTTTAATTGACTCACAGTTCAGCATGGCTGGGGAGGCCTCAGGAAACTGACAATCATGGCAGAAGATGAAGGGGAAGCAAGGTACCTTCTTCAGAAGGTGGCAGGAAGAGTGCCAGATGAAAAAGAAACAGCCCCTTATAAAACCATCAGATCTAATGAGAACTCACTCAGTATTATGAAAACACCATGGGGGAAACTGCCCTCATGATTCAGTTACCTCCACCTGGGTTTTCCCTTGACAAATGGGGATTATGGGGATTAAGGCATTACAATACAAGATGAGATCTCGGTAGGGAAACAAAGCCTAACCACATAGGCTACCTTGCCACTTATAATTAACTGCTGTCATTTGTCCTTTGCCACAATGTGTTTCCATTATTATTTCTGGAATTTTTAAAACAATTTTAATGGCAGAATCCTCCATTTTCATCCATGACTTAAAGAAGAAATTACTAGAGAACTCTTCATAGACACTAGTTTTCTTCACACCAATACATTTGTCATTACATAGTGAAACGGGGTGTCATCTGACACCTTCACAGATATTTTGAGGTAAGTTGTTGATTTGTATTTGGTAAAAGTCCTTCACTACTTCTATCTTCTTAAGTCTTAGACTCCTTCTAATTTTCAACAAATAATATCTGGCATCTCAACTTCATTTAGCATAGGTATGAAATACACACTCTAATCATTCACTTTAGCAAACAATTTGCACCATTCCCACTCTTGAATTTATGTGTTTAAAGAGTAATTTTAAGTACTTCCATATAAAAAAATAGTTCCATCTAAGTTTGACTTATTTCCTCCTTAGCCTGAGCCTCTTTCTTCTACTTTGGTGCCAGACTTTGTTCTGTTCCCCTGGGACATACTCTTATCTAACTCTTTTAATAGGTCAGGACATTTGTCTCAATGCAACCATGACAGAGGGTGTAGAATTCCTACTGCAAGGTAATACTCTTGGATTTGGATAAAGATATGTGTTGTTTCAAATAAAATTATAATGGGTGCATAAGACAAGGGGAACAGATCCGTTTTTGTTGTCAACAAAAGGTTCAGAAGGATTCTTTAGTTTGCTTTATTCATAGTGTTCCCAATTTTCACTGAAAATGCAATTCCAATTCTCCGTGTTCAATGTTGTTCCAATTAATACCTTGATGGTCACATAGTATTTATTGTGAAGCTGCAAAATTAATCTAGGCTTTAAACGGCAATTTGAAGGGACAGATTCTGCATCTGATTTTTTTGCAATATGAGACTTATGGTTAAATGATCGAAGGAAATTACAGAAGCTTCTTGGTCAAGTGAAAATTTTTAAACTGAAAATTTAAAATCATGCGTTTGTAATTTTCTTTCCTTAAATTGTGTGTGTTACTAATCACCAGTTCACTCCACAGACCTCCATATTTTTTCTTTTGTTAACGAAATGGCTTATTACAGAGGCCACACACTTTACTAAAGTATGCCTTTTTAATACCCTTTATTTCAGGCAACCACAGTGATAATGTAAGTACCCAAGTGCCTAAGACATCAACACATGGTAATGACTACCAGTAGCCATATACCAGTGTTAACAAAATTCTGGCTGTTTTCAAAATCATCCATCTCTGAAATAAAAAACCCAGATTTTTTATTTCTTGTGTATCTGTAGCTTGCAACAGCACTGTACAATGACTCCGTCAGGCAGATCTGTCAGTACTGAAAAGACAATTCACTCTAGCTAATTTTAAGGAGACATAATTGCTATTATAAATTAAGTTATTAATCTAATATTAGGAGATCTGGGAGACAGGAATACATACTAAATTAAATATTCAGGAAACTCTTCCATTGCCACACTACAGAATGAAGCTATCAAATAGAGGAGCCTACTTTGTGTAAGAAACTGTGAAATATAAAAGCTGCCTGTTGAGATAAGAAGATGTCATCACTGCTTCTGGTCCCAGAGTCACATCCACCATGACCTGATTCATATCAGCAAAACTGATGCATTTTGCCTTCCTCATTGTCTCCATGACTCAATTGCAAATTCAAGTCATGTACCAGTGAAACTGCTTAACAGAATATAAATCATATCTAGAATCCTAGTATACTGGAAGACAGTTAGAGGGAATCTTGAGCAAACCAATCTAAATTATCTGCTTCATCTGATCGCTTCAGAAAAAAAAAAGAGAGAAAAAAGCATATTGAGTCAGTTTACAGGTAATTCAGCTGGATATGTCAGCACGGTGTCAAAGTAAGCTTCTCTGTCATTACAGCCTTACCAAGCACTGGCACTAAAGAATACTAGAGCAGGGAAATTCTCACAGTAAGTAGAACTAGAAATTCTCTACCTTATTTGCTTTATGCCTAAAAGAATAATTGCTCTGAGGTCAATATCTGTACCAGTTCCTATCATGTATCTGATGGTCAGGACTTAGGTCAGAAATTTGGAATGGCAGAAGCTGAAAAACTGGAATTAAAAGGCTGAGCTGTACATACTGGGCCACAAAGCTGCATATGTACATAATTTACGTTAATGCTTTTCAAATGGTGTTAGGATACTATATAAAAGATACGTGACTGTGTTTTACTGCTGCTACTGTAGCTCCAATCTTATATCTTAATATTCTCCCAGGAGTGATTTACTGCTTCCAAAGTTGGGAAATCATTTTTTAAATGCTTATACCTCTTGACAGAAACCATATTTACCTTAATATAATGTTTCAGATGTCAAAACACTGGGAGGGAGAGGAGTGGTGCATGGCATTTACTAATAAAATAACTTACATGGTAGGGTGAACATTCACTGTAGGCCAGACATTGTCCTAAGTGCTTCACATATTTTACTTATCTAATATACACAGCATTCTGTTAATATTCTGTTCTGCCCAGCCTGAAAAGGCAGGATGGATACTCCTACATCGAAAATTCAGTTCAGATGTTGTGACTGATGTTGCTACATGCTCACACCAGGAGGATAGGAAAAGGTTTTCTGCAAATATAATTGAGTCTGAAGGAACACGAAGGTCTCTCAAAATGTCTTGAAACTGCAAAGAAGGAAGAATGGCTTAAGATTATTTTATGAATAGGGGTGCGACTGGGGGTAAGAGCTCCTCTGCATGGGCAGGGGCTTAGATGATGTGATTCTTTCATCAGCAGCAAAGGACGGAGAACCTAGACTTTCTCATCAGCTTGTGCATGTGTGGGGAACAAGGAAAAGAAGGTGGTGCAAAATTAAAAACTGATAGCAGTCAACTATGAAAACATGGTTACAGATTCTTTATTATGCTTCATCCTTGCTTTTTGACTGCTGACTGTAACATGCCATGTTGCATTTAATTGAATTTGGATATGTTTAAATCAGCCAATACGATGCTCTATGATGCCTGCATCCTGAGGCGAGTAAGGAAGGTGAAAGTTCCCACTGAATGCCTGATTAAGATCTCAGCATTGTGTCTTTCGATAAGTGAAATGAGTGCCTTGGTCACATCAATAATATTTAGAACTCTGAAATAGACAAATGTGTTTTGGTGAGATCTCGTATTTTGGCTTTAGTATATGTAGCCTATGTAGAGATGTTTGTTATATTGATTTATATTTTGGGTTTCTATAAGGCAGGAGATTGCCAGAATTCTTCTCCTTAATGGAGGTAACTTTTATTCAGTGGCTCGAGAATCTGTAAAAATGTTCAGGTGGGGCTAATTGTTAGCCAGGGCGTCTAGCGCTGACAGCTGCCTGAGGTTTGGCCAATTGTGTCATTTGGGTCTGGTCTTTGATCAGAAAATTCTCATTTATGGGATGAAAAGCAGAAGGAATGAAAAGCAGCCACTCTGCACTGAGTTCTATCACATTCATGGGTTCAATACGATCCACAAAGTGTAAGAACTCATTCAAGTAATCTCAAGAAACTCCCCAGGTAGCCATGAGGTGTGGCAAAAGCTTACTCCTTCAACACCATGGAATCTGACAAAATACTAAACTGAGGGGAGGCCAACCACTTCCCATAAAAGGGATATACCGGAAGGTACAGGTTTGGTCCATCTGGTATCAAGGAGGCCTTGGCGGCCATGCAGAATGTGTGAGTCATTGCTTCCATGACCCGAGGCACACAGAACAGCAGGGTAGGGAGACTCACAAGTTCAGGGACTGTGAGAGCTTCTTTTTCCAGGAGAACATAGTGTGCAGCCAGCAACCGCCTCTCTAAGAGCATATATCATGGGAAAAGAAAGATAATGTTGGGTGGGGCAGGGGGAGGATTCCTCGCACATGGGAGGGTTAAGGGAGACAACTGGAAGATATTCAAAAAAAGCAAAGGGAAGGAAAAATGATTACAGAAAAACAAACAAAACAGGGATAGAAGGATCAATGGTATGAAAAGGATAGAATGATGTACCAAAGTTTTTTTTTAAAAAAGAGGGTCATTTAGTACAGGAATGTCCTGAAAGATAATGTTCAACATGAGTAGAAATAATTTTATTAGAAGTGGTAGATGTGGAAATAGGTTTTGATTTGAGGTATAAATGTTGAATAAGCAATTTAAGAATAAAAAGATAAAAATCAAATTATATTTAAGAAGGACATGGATTTCAGTAAAGATTCCTTGTATTTTTTTCTTTTTGGGGTGTATATATTTTAAAATAAGTTTTATTGTGTATATTTAAGGTATACAACATGATGTTATGATACATTTTTTATTACTTACAAAAATTAAAAAAATTAATGTTTGCTTTAGACATATAGAAAATACAAATTAGAAATTATTATGAATTCTATTCTCAAACTTAAACACTGCTAACAATTTGTATATATCTTTCCTGAAATACATTCTCATTTATGGAATCCTATTACATATACTGCTCTGAAAACAGATACTTCTGACAAGCTATGAGGGCCAGTAGATACTAATACATTATCATTTCAACATACTTTTATTTTGTTAGACTTACAAAATATATATATTTTTTAATTTCTCCTTCCTGTGTTTTTGTGATAATAATTATTTATATATCAAACCTATTAGCCTATTTTCCCCATTATTCACTTAGAAAAAAATTAACAGAGTGCATATACACCCACATATGCTGAGGTGATAATTTTTTTTTCACTGCAAGGAGCTGTGAATGCTTATAAACTGAAAATAAAGATCCAGAAATGAAAATTACTCTTGGTAGAAGCAATAAAATACATGCAGTTAGGTCTCTGAGGGAACAGGTGAAATTCTGATTCATGAAATAAAGGAAAAGACTAGGCTTAGATAGAAAGAGGATATTATTTTACTGAAAGGTGAGAAACAGAAGAAAAATGTAAGTGGTTACATGTGCATACAAAAACTTGAGAGGATACTTGAAAACAATATTCTCTGCAAATAGCAGTTACATAGTTAGGATAGATATCTGAGGAAAAGTGAAATTTTATTGTTGGTAGACAGGAAAAAGGTAGGAAGAAACAAGAAAACTGGCAATTAAAATGAAACGAGAAGTCATGGGATAAGATGCACTTGAAGCTTCACAAACCCACAAAACGAAACGTTGCTTTTGATTTTTCAAAGTGTTTCGAGGACCTAGATTTAGGAACATTGATACAGTTTATAGGTGAAGGAGCACAACACAATTTTTCTCTTTGGAGTATAGTCTGGAGAACAGTTGATGTGATATAAATGTAGTCAAGGCCAGAAAAAGGAGAAAATGAAAAAAAGAAGATTATAGGATTGGGAGAATGAAGGAAAGACAGAATTTAAAAGTGGGATGCTTTCATCCATAAATATAGAAAAATAAGTATGCAGCAGAAAGGAATTTTATGGCCTTCCAGACGCTGGGTAAATTAATATGTCGTGGAGCTTATAAAAAAAAGGAAATAATCACAGATCAAAATATTTGGTTTAAATGTTGAGCAACACTCTGTTTCAGCAACCGTAAAAACTAAATTTTAAAAATCAGATGTGTAAAAACATGTAAGAGTCAAGGAAACAATAAAGACAAGATGAGCAAGAATTCCAGAGAAGGAAGGTTTCTTTCTAGGTGAGCTGGCAATCACCAGGTATTTTGTTCCTAGGAGTACTGCAGAATCTAGTCATGAGCTGATCTGGTGCGCCCAGACAGACTCCACTTGAAAGGGAGAGAAACCAGTAGAGCTTGTGGTAATCACTCGGAGCTAGCTGCCATTTGAACATGGAAACCACGAGGCCAAACTCATAATCATATTTTCCTTTGCCCAAAACACAACCCTTATTTTAGGCTGTGGGTGAAGTGTTTGGTTAGAAGCTAAAAGATGAAGTTTTCTGCAGTCTCATAGTGCTTGGCAAGCAAAGGCCCCACAGAGGGAGGGATTCTGCCACAAGCACATGGCTAGTCTTCCTGTCCAGGCACTTGCCAGAGTTTGAAGCTGCCTGAAACAGGAAATTAAGAGCTAAACTCAAAAATTCCAAAGGGAACAACTAAATCTCTTTCATTCTTCCCGGGATGAACAGCCACAGCACCACACACTGCTGAATCCAATGTCCAGGACACCTTCACTTAAGGGACAGAAGTGAATCCCCCTCTGACCAAGGTTAGTGTTAACGTAATCAGCAAAACAAATGATATTTAGTACAATTAATCTTATTGTAAAATGCAAGTAATAAAACCAACCTCATTAACTTTTGTAAAAATTAAATGAGAAAAATATTGTGTGTGTGTATATATATATATACACACATGTATACATATACATGTATCTGTAAGCATATATATGTTTAAATAGAAGGATAGTTCTTATCAGGAGAGCTCTGCCTCCTAACCTAAATACCTCTAAAGGCCCAACCTCCTAACACCATCATATTGGGAATTAGGTTTAAACATATAAATTTGGGGGAAGCACAAAGATTCAGACGATGACACAGACTGACCTAACAAAAGCACAGCGAGGTTTCCAAAGATGAGTATTGAAGAACCTGGACAATGTAAGATTCACACTTCATTCTAAAGAAAGACTCTTTCAATGAATTATATCCAAATAAATATCTTCGAATTCCTTAGAAATTAATAGGACACTGGGCGCAGTGGCTCACACCTGTAATCCCAGCACTTTGGGAAGCCGAGGCAGGTGGATCCCTTGAGGTCAGGAGTTCCAGACCAGCCTGTCCAATGTAATGAAACCCCGTCTCTACTAAAAATATAAAAATTAGCTGGGCGGATGTGTTGTGCACCTGTAATCCCAGCTACTAGGGAGGCGGAGTCAGGAGAATCATGTGAACCCAAGAGACAGAGGTTGCAGTGAGCTGAGATCACGCCCCTGCACTCCAGCTTGGGCGACAGAACAAGACTCTGTCACAAATAAATAAATAAATAAAGTTTGTTTTAAATGTGTGTAGCAAAATGTACAGGCATACCTCCTTTCATTTCACTTTGCTTTATTGCACTTCACATATTTTGAATTATTTACCGGTTGAAGATCTGTGGCAACCCTGCTTCCAGCAAGTCTATCAGTGCCATTTTTCTAACGTGTTTACTTTGTGTTAATATGTTTACTTTGTGTTTCTATTACACATTTTGGTAATCTGAGCAATATTTCCAACGTTTTTGTTATTATTACATCTGCTATACTGATTTGTAATTAGTGCTCTTTGACATTACTATTGCAGTTGTTCTGCATGCCATATCCATGCCCATATAGGATGACAAGCTTAATTGATAACTGCTGTATGTGTTCTGACTGCTTCAGAGAATGATCATTGCCCCACCTCTCTACTTCCCTCTCTACTTCTTCACAGGCCACCTATTTTATTCCTAAAGACACAGCAGTATTGGAATGAGGACAGTTAATAACCCTACAATGGCCTCTAAATGCTCAAGGGACAGAAAGAGTTGCATATCTCTAACTCTAAATAAAAAATTAGAAATAATTAAGATTAGTCAGAAAGACATGTAGAACGCCAAGATAGGCCACGAGCTAGACCTCTTGTGACAAAAAGTGAGCCAAGTCTTCAATGCAAAGGAAAAGTTCTTGAAGGAAAGTATAAGTGCTACTTCAGTGAACCCAAGAGTGATAAGAAAGTGAAATGGCCTTATTACTGTATAGAGAAAGTTTTAGTGGTCTGGATAGATTAAATCAGCCCCAGCACTATCTTTAGCTAAAGACTAATACAGAAAAAGACCCTAACTCTCTGCCATTCTCTGAAGGCTGAGAGAGGTGAGGAAGCTGCAGAGGAAAATTTAAAGCTAGTGGAAGTTGGTTCATGAAGCTTTAGGGGGAAAAACAAAAAACTGCCTCTGCTAACATAAGAGTGCAAGGTGAAGCAGCAAGTGCTAATGTAGAAGCTACAGCAAGTTATCCAGAATACCTAGCTAATATAATTGATCAAGACAGATGCACTAAACAACAGATTTTTAATATAGATGAAACAGCCTTATACTGGAAGAAGATGCAATCTAAGACTTCCATAGCAAAAGAGAAGTCAATGTCTGGCTTCAAAGTCTTGAAGGATAGGTTAACCCTTGGGCTAATGCAGCTGGTGACTTTAATTTAAAACCAGTGCTCGTTTTCCATGCTGAAAATCTAAGGGCCTTTAAGAATTCTGCAAAATTCACTCTAAAATATAACAACGAAAATCCACACGACAGCACATTTGTTTACAGCTTGATTTACTGAATATTTTAAGCCAACTAGTGAGATCTACTACTCAGGAAAAAAAATAATAAAAAGATTGCTTTCAAAATATTACCACCCACTGACAATACACCTAGTCACCTAAGAGCTCTGATGGAGATGTACAAATAGATTAATGTTGTTTCTATGCCTGCAAACACAACATCCATTTTGCAGCCCATGGATCAAGAAGTAATTTTACTTTCAAGTTTTATTACCTAAGAAATAAATTTTCTAAGGCTATAGCTGCCATAGATCATGATGGATTTGATGGGTCTGGTCAAAGTAAATTGAAAACCTTCTGAAAAAGAGTCACCATTCTAGATGCCATTAAGAACATTCATGATTTGTGGGAAGAGGTCAAAATATCAACATTAACAGTAGATTGGAAGAAGCTGATTCCAACCTTCATGGTTGACTTTGAGAGAGGTTCAAGATTTTTGTGGACGAAGTAACTGCAGATGTGGTAAAAATGGCAAAATATCTAGAATTCAAAGTGGAACCTGAATATATTACTGAATTTCATCATCAAATATTAATGGATTAGAAGCTGCTTCTCATGAATGATCTAAGAAAGTGATTTCTTGAGATGGAAACTACTCCTGGTGAAGATACTGTGAACATTGTTGAAATGTCAATAAAAATTTTTGATTAGTACATAAACTTAGTTGATGAAACTGCCCCAGAGTTTGAGAGAATTTTCCCCAATTATGAAAGAAGTTCCCCATGGGACGCGGTGGCTCACACCTGTAATCCCAGCACTTTGGGAGGCCGAGTCAGGCGGATCACCTGAGGTCAGGAGTTTGAGACCAGCCTGGCCAACATGGCGAAACCCCGTCTCTACTAAAAGTTCAAAAAAGAAAAAAATTAGCTGGGTGTGGTGGCGGACGCCTGTAATCCCAGCTACTTGGGAGGCTGAGGCAGGAGAATTGCTTGAATCCAGGGGGCAGAGGTTGCAGTGAGCCGATATCGCACCATTGCACTCCAGCCTGGGTGACAAGCACGAGACTCCATCTCAAAAAACAAAGAAAGAAAGAAGTTCTACTGGCTGGGTGCAGTGGCTCACTCCTGTAATCCCAGCATTTTGGGAGGCCAAGGCAGGTGGATCACGAGGTCAGGAGATGGAGACCATCCTGGCTAAGACGGTGAAACCCCGTCTCTACTAAAAATACAAAAAATTAGCCGGGCGTGGTGGCGGGCGCCTATAGTCCCAGCTACTCAGGAGGCTGAGGCAGGAGAATGGCGTGAACCCGGAAGGCGGAGCTTGCAGTGAACCAAGATCACACCACTGCACTCCAGCCTGGGCGACAGAGCAAGATTCTGTCTCAAAAAGAAAGAAAGAAAGAAAGAAAGAGAGAGGGAGGGAGAGAGAGAGAGAAAGAAAAAGAAAGAAAGAAGTTCTACTTTAGGTAAAATATTATCAATCAGCATTACATGCTACAGAGAAATCTTTCATGAAGAGTCCATCAATGTGGCAAACATCATTATTGTCTTATTCTGGAAGTTGCCACAGCCACTCTAAGCTTTAGCCACCACTACCCTAATCAGTCAGCAGCCAATAGCATCAAGGTGAAATCATCCACAAAAGAAAAGATTATTATTGCTGGAAGTTCAGTTGATTGTCAGCACTTTTTACAATAAAATATTTTAAAATTAAGATATGAATATTGTTTTCTAGATTATGCCATAGTACATTTAATGTACCACAGTATAGGGTAAATATCATTTTTGTATGCGTTCAGGAACCAAAAAATTTGTATGACTCTTTTTATTTTGACATTGGCTTTATTGTGGTGATCTGAACTGAACCTGCAATATCTCTGAGGTATGCCCGTATGGTGTTTTTATTTCGTTGTATGTTTCATCATGTACAGCAGTATTTTATTAGTGTAATAGTAAGGACCCAAACAAAGAGTCTCTCCCATTATTATTGTTCCTCAGTTGGGCAAATCCTTTAGAATAATTGCTGTTGAAATTATGGTTTTTAGATTTGAGTAGCTCCCTCCAAAGAACCTAGGTATATCACAATACATATATGTATTATTAGGTCACCTGTGACCTAATAAAAATGAAGCCAAAACATATAAGTTGTAAAAAAGGATTTATGATCTATGTCATTTCTGTGAATGACATGCTTTATAGTTGGAGACTCAGAGTAAGTAGAAGCAATGAAATATCCCTGATCCCTTCAGACTTGTTTTTTTCAACTGCACAAGTAAAAATGCTTTGTTTTTAAATTTTTGTCAACTACATTTATCTAATATTCCAAGAGGCAGGACATTGATGAATGAAGCAATTGAAACAAGGAAACGGTTTTTTCTTTTTTAAAAAATAATTTCAACTTTTATTTTAGATTCAGGGGTTACATATGCAGGTTTGGTACCTGGGTATATTGCATGGTGCTGAGGTTTAGGGTAAGACTGATCCTGTCACCCAGGCACTGAGCATACATAGTACCCAACAGGTACTTTTTCAATTTGTCCCCTTCCCTACCTCCCTCCATAGTCCCCAGTTTTTTTGTTGCCATTTCTGTGTGCATGAGTACCCAAAGTTTAGCTCCCACGTATGAGAATCTGTGGTATTTTATTTTCTGTTACTGCATTCATTCACTTAGGATAATGGCCTCCAGCTACATCCATGTTGCTGCAAAGGACATGATTTCATTCATTGTTATACCATGGAGTATATGTACCATATTGTCTTTATCCAATCTGCCATCGATGGGCACCTAGGTTGATCCCACGTCTTTGCTATTGTGAATAGTGTTGCAATGAATATGTGAGTTCATGTGTCTTTTTGGTAGAATGATTTACTTTCTTTTGAATATATATCTAGCACTAGCATGAAATGTTTTTCTATTTGTTTGTATCATCTGTGATTTCTTTCAGCTGTGTTTTGTATTCCTCCTTATAGAGACCTTTCAACTCCTTGGTTAGATGTATTTCTAGGTGGTTTTTTTGGTGGCTATTCTAAATGGATTGCATTCTTGATTGTATTCTTAGCTTGAATATTATTGATGTACAGAAATGCTAGTGGTTTGTACATAGAGTTTGTATCCTGAAACTTCACTGAAGTTACTTCTTCATTCCAGGAGCCATTTGGCCTTGTCTTTAGGGTTTTCTAGGTACAGAACTATATTGTCTGTGAGGAGAAGTAGTTTGTCTTCTTTTCCTATTTAGATGTCTTTTATTTCTTTCTCTTTCCTGGTTGCACTGGCTAGCACTTCCAGTACTATGTTGAATAGAGTGGTGAAAATGGTCATTCTTGTCTTGTTCTAATTCTCGGAAGGTGACTGCTTCTAACTTTTGCCCATTCAGTATGATGTTGGCTGTGGGTTTGTCATAGATGGCTGTTATTATTTTCAGCCATGTCCCTTAAATGCTTAGTCTGTTGAGGGTTTTTATCATGAAAAGATGTTGCATTTTGTCAAAAGATTTTTCCACATCAAGGGTATCAGAATCATGATATCTGATATTTAAGGCTAGAGCAGCATGGATAATTGGTTCCAGACAATGCTTTGAGATTCGACAACTATATATTGGAAATGAAGTGTCTTCATATTACCATCCTAATACAGCTTACAGCTACAGAAAATAATGTTCACACCTACTTTCAAATGAATGCTTGAGTTAGATAAAAATAATTTGCATGAAATGAGTAAATAATTTTTTCATTGCTAGCATGTATATACAATATATATAACATTATCGCTTGTTTTCTATTTTTATTGACTTAATATGAATTATTATTTGTGCCATGGCCATTTTGTTTTTGCTCTTGTATACAGAAATGTTATAAAATACATTATGAACAGACTTACATGAATGGCATTCAACATATATTTTACCTGCCTATCCATTAACTCTGTGAAATCAGCACCTTAGATTCTTAGTTTCATTTTATAACTATAATCTAACTCCAAAAGCAACATAAATGTTCTCATATATTTAAATCTATCATGCTTAAAATTGAATCCAGAATTCTGGAACAGAGAAATAAGTAGGGTGATTTCTGAAAGCACAGAGACCAAAATTATACTACACACACACACACACACACACACACACACATATCATAATCCAAAAGGGGTTAAAACTACTTATAATTGGCAGGGCATGGTGGCTCACGCCTGTAATCCCAGCACTTTGGGAGGCTGAGGTGGGCGGATCACTAGGTCAGGAGATTGAGACCATCCTGGCTAACATGGTGAAAACCCATCTCTACTAAAAATACAAAAAAAAAAAATAGCCGGATGTGGTGGCGGGAGCCTGTAGTCCCAGCTACTTGGGAGGCTGAGGCAGGAGAATGGCGTGAACCCGGGAGGCAGAGCTTGCAGTGAGCCAAGATCGTGCTACTGCACTCCAGCCTGGGCGACAGGAGTGAGACTCCATCTTGGGGGAAAAAAACAAAAAAACTACTTATAATTAACAATAACACAATAAACATAAAAAAGCAAAGCGTTTTTATTTGGACACTTAAAAAATCTAGCCTGAGGGTTAGAAACTATGTGGTAAGTATGATACTTAATTTACCTTGATCATGTAACATTTGACATAAAGCAAACTCTTGTTGAAACTCAGGGGTTGCTTTTTATGGATGATCAAAGTAAGTAGTTTCTTGAGAAGGAATCTATTATTGGTGAAGATGAACTGAACATTGTGGAAAAGTCAACAAAATATTTAGAATATTGCATAAACCTAGTGGATAAAGCAGTGGCAGGGTTTGAGAGGATTTTCTCCAGTTTTAAAGGATGTTCTACTGTGGGTAGAATGCTATTAAACAGCATTGCATAGCGTGGTTCAGAGAAATATTTCATGAAAGGAAGTGTCAATTAGTGCTGCAAACTTCAACGTTGTCTTATTTTAAGAAGTTGTCACAGCCACCTCAACCTTTAGCAACCACCACCCTAATCAATCAGCAGCTATCAACAATGAGGCAAGAACCTCCACCAGCAATACGATTCCCACTCAATAGAGTTTCACATAATTGCTAGCATTCTTTAGCAACAGGCAATAATTTATTTCTAAATTAAAATACTTATATTGGTTTTTAGACATAATGCTATTGTACTCTTAAAAAACTACAGTATAGTGGCCGGGCGCGGTGGCTCATGCCTGTAATCCCAGCACTTTGGGAGGCCAAGGTGGGCGGATCATGAGGTCAGGAGATCGAGAGGATCCTGGCTAACACGGTGAAACCCTGTCTCTACTAAAAATACAAAAAATTAGCCTGGCGTGGTGGTGGGCGCCTGTAGTCCCAGCTACTCGGGAGGCTGAGGCAGGAGAATGGTGTGAACCCGGGAGGCAGAGCTTGCAGTGAGCCGAGATGGTGCCACGGCACTCCAGTCTGGGTGACAGAGCAAGACTCTGTCAAAAACAACAACAACAACAACAAAAAACACTACAGTATAGTGCAGGCATAACTTTTATATGGACTAGAAATAAAAAAGATTGTGACACACTTTACTGTGATATTTGCTTTATTGCAGTGGTGGGCTTAACTAGCAATATCTCTGAGGTTTTCCTGTACTTGGTTGAACATATGGCAATCACCTTATCCTTCAGGATGTTTGATTTTTGCAGGGGCAAATCTGGCAAATTAATTAGAAATATCAGTTACTAGTACTTTTGCATCCTTTAATATTTAAGGATGACATTGTTTCCTGGCAGTTTCTATGGGATTGTTATTATTTTAATTTAATACCCATTTCAGAGGCTTCAATCTAGCCGTTCTGTTTATATTAGCTCATAATCTGTGGCACAAAGAACCAAAATGGTGGGATTGTATGATTTAACAAGTATGTTTATTCTAATGCGTTTGGGGACTGGGTAAATAAATGACTACCCTGTAGTTCTGTAGATAGACCCGGTTTACCCACTGTGATCTGGGCCAAGGGTGACATTTCATTTATTACCTGATTATCATATACCATAACATATCTTCCCAGGTCAGGAGCCAATACTGAAATATTCCACCTATGAAATATATCTTATTACACTGTATATTTTGAGACTGGTTAATTAACCACAGGAGATATGTAGTGCCAATGGAACCACTGTGAGTCAGACTCAAGCCAGAATTAGCTTCAACTATCATCTAACCTGCACAAGTTGTCTCTCTGATTCATGGCCTATGTTGGATTTTAGATCATTGAAGATCAGTGTCAATTTAGAGCCAGCATCTAATAATCCCTGTATTAATCCATTTTCACATTGCTATAAAGAACTATCTGAGACTGGGTAATTTATGAAGAAAACAGGTTTAATTGACTCACAGTTCTGCAGACTGTACCGGAAGCATGGCTGGGAGACCTCAGGAAACTTACAATAATGGCAAAAGGGCGAAGGGGAAGCAGGCTCAGTCTTCACATAGTGGCAGGAGAGAGAAAGAGTGAAGGGGGAAATGCTACACACTTTTAAACAACCAGATCTTGTAAGAACTCACTGACTATCACGAGAACAGCATAGGGTAAATCCGTCCCAATGATCTAATCACCTCCTACCAGGGCCCTACCCTAATACTGGGGAGTGCAATTGAACATGAGATGTGGGTGGGGACACAGATCAGAACCATATCAACCCCTAACAGCTCTGAGCATTTCATGTCTCTAATGTATTGTGGATAGGACAAATTTACGGTGTGCATGAGGTATGTTACAGAGTACCTTCAGAGTTTCTGGATTCCCCTTTATCGAAGGTCTGTTGGTCTGTGATCTGTTTAAGTGAATGGGTAAGAAGCCATGAATCTCCACCCTATTGGTTCAACTTCTTTGTCTTCCTATTAAACTTATAATAAGCATCATTTTTATTATTTGCAAAATTTTATGGGAAGCCATAATTTAAAGTTTTTCTATTTCTTAGGTATTTCTTGACACTATAACCAATTAGCCATATACTCAGATGCCTGATGGCTTGCATTTATCCTTGCCTTTGATGGTTAACAGTACCATTTGGCCTCTATTGTGCTAGGATCCCATTATTCCCATTGATAGCTGGAAACTCAATTCATTGCAACATCGTCCAATATCCCCTATGACCTACAGAAGTCAGTAAGCTCAGGTGACTGTACATCTTTTCAAGGATGCTCAAATGCCTTTGGAAATATTCACTCCAAATTACTCCTTTTCAGTTTGTCATCTGTTTCCTTCTGAGAAATTTACCTTTGCCTATATAAATAGGTGAGGGCAAACAACTTTTTAAAAAATTTATTTTTATAGCCTATCTTCTTCCATACTATGTTTTGTATTTCTGTGACTGGGATATTTTGAGATCTACATTGCACTCTAGGCTGGAGGTAATTAGGGCTTGTGGGTTGGGATCCTGAAGAGTTTTGGTTGTGTGGCAACTGCAGCTGGTGAAGTCCTTGGAAGTTGTTATGCAGGGATGGCAAGTTCCCTCCAATAGTGATGCAAAGACTATTTGGCTGAGGAAGGAGTTTCAAGTGTCCGGGGGTCTTACGGTTTTTAATCTTATCTGATTCTTTACAAATGTCCCCCTTCCATGTATCAAGGCCCCACTCCTTACTTGCCACTGACCTTATATTAACTAACTTCAGAGGTCAGATAGGGTTGAGATTATTATTAATGCCACAACTCTGAAACACTCAAAAGGCCCTGGGATTGCTATACATGTATCCATGCTTTCAATACAATAAATAAAGCATTCCTTTACTAATACTGTCAAGGCTTTTTAATAGTTGTTGTTGATGCTGTATTTTTGCCTTCACTTAGCACTTCAGGACTCAGACTCAGAAAGATGCCTCATAATTAATGTTAAGGTTCACTATGCAAAGATGAATTGGGAAATGGAGATCCATCCTCAGAGAAACTGAATGGTTTAGATTTAAACGTTTTGTGTCTGTGTCTTTCTTTGTCACTAGCATATAGTCGACCAAAGCACATGTTGGCATTTGAAAAAAGTGGTATGTGTCAGGAGTTTTCTCAGTCTCTTTTCATGAGGGAGGGTTTCTGTGGGTCTCCATCGGATCCAGGCTTCATGCAGTGAGCCTAACTTTAATCCTGTTTCTGGCCATGGGAAGCAAACCAGCACAACCACTGCACAATTATAGCTCAGAGATCTGTGACCTTAAAATCTTATCTCCAGTTCTTGTAGGAATTTTTCTGTCATACACAGTTCTATTTTTCTTTCTGTAGCTCAGCTGTCTTAGGTATTTTTCTTCATTGCATTTAAGTAAACATTATATGTTGAGACATAGGGGATTATTGTCAGAGCGGGAATTTACTGATCACTTTGGAGGTATGTACATACATTTTATTGATGGTTGGAAATTCATAATTTTTCATTCAGAATATTAAAATAAAATTCAGTTGCATCAATATGTTCCCATCACAATGTGACATTTGTTAACTGCATTCACCATTTATAGTTACTATTAAGATTAAATAAACTACCCAGGTTATTAGTTTTCTATTGCTGCTGTAACAAATTACTATAAACATAGTGGCTTAAAATAACCCAAATTTGTTATCTTTCAGTTTGCTATGTCAGGAGTCTGAACTAGGACTTACTGCCTAAACTCACCATACCTGTACGGCTGCATTACTTTCTAGAGGCTTTAGGGTAGAATTCATTTACTTGCCTTTTCAGCTTCTACAGGCCACCCCTAGTCCTTATCTTGTGGCCACATTCCTTTATCTTCAACACCAGCAAGATTAAGTTGTCATTTTCTCTGAGCCTCCTTCTCTCCCATCTCTCTGATTCTGACAATTCTACCCCTTCTTCCCCATGTAAGGATCCTATGATTACATTGGTTGCACTGGGGTTAGCCAAGGATAATCTTCTGATTTGAAAGTAATCAAATTAGCAAACTTAATTCCAGCTGTAACCTTAATCGCCCCTTGTCATGTAACAGAATGTAGTCACAAATTCTGGAGATTAGGACATAGATATTTTTGGGAGGCCATTATTTTTCCTATCACACTATTTTTGGGTTAGCTCTTATTAGTTTGAAACATATAAATAGGAAAATCTAAGGGTCGTTAACATTAAATCCACATTCAATATAACTTCATTTTTAACTGGAAAATTCTTACACAGATGTATCCAACAAAATATGATTTTAAGCAAAGTAATCATAGCCTCCCTGTTAGACAATCATTTTTATATATTTTCCACATTTGCAGAAGAGAGGCTTTGCAGTGGGAGAGCAGAAAATGCCAAAGAAACAATGGTTTCTTTTTTGGGGATAGCCTTTTCATCTGACATCTCTCAGAAAACTATTCCTTTTAAATCTAAATTACAGAGGACCACAATAACCTTATCCCATTGTAGTTAGTTGAATCACCAAACTGCTGCATGTTCTTCCATTAAGAAATTACTGTATTTTCTACAATTGCACCAAATGTAATTTAAGACAAAGCAAAGAATAAGGATGTATTCATTCTTTCATTCATTCATTCATGCATGCACTCAATTGTTTTTAGCGTGTATTGCAGGCCTAAGAAACTTTGCTATTTACTATGGATATTGTTATGAGAAACAAATACTTTTTATCTCACTGTAATTTCTTTCATTTTGTTTTAATCTAGGTATTAGTAATCAAACACACTTGTTGAAATCCATAAATTGTGCTTGAATTTTATTTTAATTTTTTGTTTGTTCTAGTGGTGATATTGATTTTGGTTTGCCCAACTTTGCCTATATCCAACACAGTTGATACTGTTATGTTGATCCTCCGACTGTGTTAACCATTAACACGTTTAATTATTGTTGCTTCAGTGCTTTGTGGAAAAAAATTCTATTGTATATTGAAAAATTTTTTCTGTTATTATATGATTGAGTTTTTATTCTACTTCGTTGAGTGAGAGTTCTAACTTCCTAGAGTAACATACGTAAAATAACAGTAGAGAAAACTTTATCTATGTCTATGAATATATATAACATGATTACAGCGCAATACACTGTACTGCCCGTTGAGATATTTTAATTGATTTCTCATTCTGTAAGCCACCACAAACAGCCCTCAGCACTACAGCAAAGTAGTAGAAGTTATAAAGGTCCACATATATATACCCTATTCACCTGCAGGGGAATGAATTAAATAGCACCTGAGCTCATGTGTGGCACTTGGGCAAATTTAAACTCAGGCCTAGCAAAAAAGGCCACAGAAATATAGAGATATTATTTCTTAGGAGTTAAGAATTTGGATTTTTAGGATGGAAAAATATTAGTTTAGTAGCATGCAGTAGAAATGCACAAATAAATCTTGATGATGTAATGTTTTATATAATAATATTCTCTTGCTTTGCATCAGTTTTACACGTGTGTATATCTTTGCAGAATGTTTCTTAAAAATTATTTTCTTTGTTTTATGTATAAATTATGGTTACTTTAACCATAATATTTAGTTTATTTCCCATCTATCAAGAAGGTTATATAATAATAATAACTTAGATTTCCAAATAATTGTGTGTTTACATAGGTTTTAAAAATATATTATTCTATAAGATTCTATTTCCTTTTGCTATAGATTATTTCAAACTGCATTTTGATTTCTTCTAATTGCCTTTTTCTCCACGTGTGTGTATTTTTAAAAAAACTGTTTTGAATATTCCAGATTCTGATTATCTTGGTGGAATCTTGGAAAAGCTAAGCAGCTTCACTCTTAATAAACAGACCTTGATCAGCAACAAGTAGTGCAGAGGGAGCTCCTTACAACTCGACCAGTGAACCCAATTTGAGAACTGAAGGAGAAATCAATATCTATGCAGATCAGGTATTGCTAAGAGAGTGCTGGTATTAGAGCTGAAAAGGTGACCTTGTTATCTTTGAGAAAATTAATGAATATCAACCTACCTATGGTTTATCAAGAAAATTTTCCTGGATTAATTATTTTCTTGCTAATTTTAGTCAAATAAAATTCTTTCTGAAATTTCTTTCATCCATGAATATTTTTTACCAGAGATAGCTGAAATTAATTATGACTTACTCAGCTTCTAGACATTGCTTATCCTTACTAATTATCTCAAATATAACTAGCTTGAAAAGGTTACGTGCTAAAACTCAATTTTTCAATATAAGCTAGTTATTAAAACATCTTTTTGTCTCTATTTTCTCAGAAAAATGAAAAAATTAACTTATCTTCAAATTGGAAACATTTTCATATTGCAAATAAATATGAAAAAAGGGAATGACTTCAGATACTACCAAATCAAAATGATTAGACAAGATTCTCTATGCCAAATAGATGCTCGATAATGTATATGTTAACACAAATAAACAATGCTTACTCTTTCAGCGAGGCTTAACTTTAGATAGTTTTGTTTTCTCAAGACATAAACAATTTAAAAAATAAAATAGGTGATTAGCTGTTGGCATATTTGCAATGAAAAATAAAGTAAACCCATTTCGTTACTGTCTATCTTATGCTTGAAATAAAGCATACTAAGCCTGATAATTTCATAGAAAAATCCACGTATTAATAAAATATGCATTCATAAAACTACACATAATTTTGCTCCAAATATTGCTAAAATTAATGCATTTATATTTTTATAAGAGTTTTTAAAAGTTTTCTTATGATTCTATACTATCTTGGATATTGTGCCTCTCTATTTTAAACCAATTTATGATGTATGAACACGAAGCAATCAAGATTGTTTTGGAGAGGTTGTTAAAGAGGTTGGACTTGATTTCAGGTAGGACATCTGGGATTTGGAAGGATACCAAGATGATCCACACCTCAGCTTTAAAGTAATTATTCATTTTAACTGACCTCATGTTAGACATCCCCTGGATAAGGTAACATTTTGCTGATTTACTGATTTATAATCTATTATCTACTTTCAATTTTGTAAGAAATAGTTTCAACTCTGAAGGAAAATATAAGTGTCTTTTTCACAACAAAGCCTCCCTGAATCAGTATGGATACTATGTATGACCTTTGTACATGTTTACTTCAGAACTTGCAATGCTTTTTAACCCTTGACAAACAACTGTATTCCATGTATGGTTTAAGAAAATCAAATTTGCAAGCACTATAAGATATATTAGGACAATGAATATAACACAAAAAAAGCCACATCTTCATTCTCCCTCATCAATTTCAGGTCTATCCTTTAGGATACATTTAGAAAATCCAGTACTAGTTTTGCTGCCCTGATTGATGTCTTCATAGGTAGTTTTCTGCATGTAATCTGAAAATATTTCCTACACAACATGAGGATCAAGTGTGAGAGAATGTTAGAGCAAATCAAATTGAGCAATACATTTTGACTGACAAATAAAATAAACCATCTTTTGAATACCTTGGCATTTGTGATCATATGCAGGGTTTTTTACCTGTCCAGGTAAAAAACCTGGACAGGTTTTTTTTTTACAGGGTTTTTTTTAGCTGTCCAGCAAACCATTGCTATACATTTTTTTTAACTACCACGCTCCTATTATTTAAAATAATCACAATAGAATTAGCACTCAATTAAATATTATGCTTCTGCACAAAGCTTTTACTCCACTTTACAGTTTAATTTTGCATACAATTAATAACCATAATTAGTTCCACAGGGAAGACATCCTATGGGGACTGTTTCTTCCTGGGATGAGTAGAATGGAAGCCCTATGCATAATTCAGTTCGTGGAGAAGAGCAAAGGCTGGACTCATGGTCCCAATTTGGAGGTGAAGCATGGTGACAAACGTCAATGGGAAGCATACACATTGCAAAGTGGCTTCTCTCAGGTAATCTTAGCATTTAGAAACAAGAACAGAGTCTCTGAAAGTCAGAAAACTAGGAGTCCTTGGTTATCAGCTTCTCTAAACTAGGCTGCAAAATTAACTTCTTAAATACTAGGTTTTCATTTTAGCCTCTCGTGTTTTACATTTTCAAATGCACATTTATCAAATTCTTACCTGGCATTTATTATGATCTTGGCAGTGTTTTAAATACTTTAAGATTATAAATTCAATTATACCCATAAGAACTCTAAGAAGCAGATAATATGTTATTCTCATTTCAGAGAAAAAAAACTGTCAGGAGGAAGTTATGAAGGTCACACAGCTAGTAAATAGCAGAGCTGGGATTTCAGAATCTATGATTTTAACCCCTGTATGTGCTGCCTCTGTGATTAAATCACATTTCTCTTAGGATTAATATAAAAATAGCTGACATGGTGGGTTTTATGACCTAGAGTGATCTTGTCTCTGCCAACAACTTCATATTCATCTCACACTGCACCTTCCATTAATTTCTAAATGCTGGTTGGTTTCTCAGTTTCACAAATCTCTCATGTTCCTTCCCTCCTTGTAGAAGAGTCCATGCTGTTTCTTCTTTTCATTGTATTCTTCTCGAGCCTCTTTAAAATTACTTACCTTTCAAATCTAAAATAAACAGTTATTTCTACAGAATAGCCGCTAAAGCCCTACCCCAATCCCTATCCTAATTAAGATTTATTTATTTTCATTTACATGAATGGTTTCTTTAATAGTCAAAAATCTCAGTTGGTAATCATGCATTTATTATGATTTGTGCATAATTAGATTCAAGTGTCTCCCAACAGAATACAGTCTTTATGAAAGCAACAATTATTTGCCTGTCTACTAATATGTTCCAATATACCAGCCATATTAAAAGAAATTGATTGATGTTTAATAGTGGCAAGGCACTGAATATTTTTCCAGGAGATATTATAGTTTATTGGGTAGAAAACACTTGAGTACAAATACTTTTTTACAACCATTTATTCAATGAAAAAAGCAATAATATTATTTAATCTTCTTGTGTGACATTCTATGTCAAAACCATTCATTTATCAAATTTTAAGTCTTTATTACCATTTGTACAATCCTTTAATATAAATATAGAAGTCCTATTAAAATTTTTTTTCTGGCAAGCATTAGAGGACTTATATTATCATTTAAAATTATACCTGCAGTTACAGAAAATAAAACGTATCTACATGAGAAATTTTTCAGTGAAATGAAAGCATTTCTACTTCTTAATGTTTGGTATTTATGTTTGGAAAGTTTTTAGTGAAGTATACTGCCCCTTTAGAAATAAAAATGTAAATAAGCATACAAAATAGTACCTACATATATTTAAGATCTGACTTTGACTTGCTAATTTTGACATTTTTAGTTAATCTCGTACCTCCCAAATTGCAAATTCTGAAAGTTGTACATGCCAATTTCTTTTTTTCGCCATTTTCATAGTGTGAATTTATACTGGGCTCACACCTAGCTAGAATACAGATGATATACTCCAGTTATTTGTGTTCGTTTTGCAGCCAGGTATGGGTATATTCTGGCAAAGAATATAGGCGGAATTAATGTGTACAATTTCCTGGTTGTTTCCTTAGAAGGTGGGTCTATGTCATTTATTTTCTCTTTTCACCTCTCAGCGTCTGCTGTAAACACCGGGTCGTGAGTTGTCTGTGAGTGTATGAATGAAAACATTCCATAGAGATTGTGTGGCCATAATACACAAGGAGCTGGACTCCAGGTAACTTTTTGAAATAGCATGCCTGACAAGCTCCAACTTTTACATGACAGAGAAATAATTTTTCTTTTTAAAAATTTGTTTTTCAATTTTTTTAATGTTATGGGTTCATAATAGTTGTATATATGTATAAAGTATACATGATGTTTTTAGACAGGCCTACAATGTGTAATAATCAAATCTACCTGCCATTTTTTAAGCCACTCTTACTTTATGTCTCTTGCACTTATCTGATGTCTTAGTCTAACTAAACTATTTCCCACTGGGAATAGTTTGTAAGTTTACAGGAAGAGGTTTGCAAGTCAGCAATAAAAATGCATATGCACATTTCATATATATGTCATGTAATATACATCAAATATTTCCCTTGAAGTAACTAAGATGATTCCAAGCTTAGATTTAATGAAATCTTTATTTTCTCAGTCACTGATATACCTGATAATTTGTCACTAGATCACTAAATTTGCTATTTTGCTTATATAAATTTTTATCAGGATTTTATTTAACGTGTCTTATTAAATACTTTATACTTATAGAGTCTTGGAGTTTCCTAATCCATCAGTTTGATTCAATAAATCAATAAAATTCCAATTCTGGCCAATAAATTTCACCTGTCCTCCAATACTTTTAATTACGTTTGGAATATATACTGTGAAATGCCTTTTTTTTGACAATGGATAAAAGTTTTGGATGTGCTTCCACAGAAAGAGAAGGAGTCTGATCTGTGTGAATTTAATTCCACTTTCCCTCAAAGCATTATCTAATACCTCATTTAGTACTGGATATCTCAGTCTTTTCCTTTATAAAACAATGTCATGCAAGGATTTCTTGGCATAACTTCCCAAAAGGGAGATGATGTTCCTCAAGGCATTTATGAAACTGTAAAATGCAATTAAATAATATTTTGATTTTTTATGGATATAAGAGAGATATGCAATTCTCCAAAATTTACGAATTAGAATAAAAGGATTTATTTTCAATGTTGAATTATAAAATAATTCATGGCAAATAAGACAAAAAATATTGAAAGATAATAGTTAAAAACTGCAATTCTGGCCGGGCATGCTGGCTCACCCCTGTAATCCCAGCACTTTGGGAGGCTGAGGCAGGCAGATCACCTGATGTCAGAAGTTGGAGATCAGCCTGGCCAACATGGTGAAACCCTGTCTCTACTAAAAATACAAAAATTAGCCAGGCGTGGTGGCGCATGCCTGTAATTCCCAGCTACTTGGGAGTCTGAGGCAGGAAAATCACTTGAATCCGGAAGCTGGAGGTTTCAGTGAGTTGAGATCATGCCATTGCACTCTAGCCTGGGTAACAGAACAAGACTCCATCTCAAAAAACAAACAAACAAACAAACAAAACCCCTGCAATTCCTACACAACACAATATTTCATTAAACGTATTAAGTTTATTAAAAAATAAATGTTTAAAAAATTGACTAAAAGTTACATGGAAAAGCATCAACTGCCAACCTGGGCTTCAGAGCAGGATCCTGTCTCAAAAAAATAAAAATTAAAAAAAAGAAGAAGAAAAGGAGTCACCATTGATGACAAGGTTTGAGGATAGCAGAGCCTCAGAAAAATTATTGCAGGTTGTGAAAGGAAAATATCTTGGGCCCCCAAGATCACTAAGGAAAACTCCAGCTGGAAATTGCTTAGGGCAGACCTGCCTCCCATTCTATTCAAAGCCACTCCTCTGCTCACTGAGATAGATGGATATCTGATTTGTCTGCTTTGGAAAGGCTAATAAGAAACTCAAAAGAACTATTTATGTATCACCTATCTGTGACCTGGAAGCTCTCTCCCCATTTTGAGTCTTCTTTCCTGCCTTTGCATCAAGTTGTCTCACCTTTCCAGACCGAACCAATGTACTTCTTGTATATATTGATTGATGTCTTATGTCTTCCTAAATGTATAAAACCATCTGTGCCCTCACGACCTTGGGCACATGTCATCAGGACATCCTGGGGGTGTGTTGTGGGCGTGTCCTCAACCTAGGCAAAATAAGCTTTTTAAATTAACTGAGACCTGTCTCAAATTTTTGGGGTTCGCAAGGCGTATCAACAAATTTATCAACAAAGGAATGTGGTAGAATTGCTGTGATCTCCAAAGTATGTGTATAAAGATAAATCTAAGACTATTAAGGCAGCAGATTGGTTGAGATATTTTCAGTATCTCATTTTCCAAAATGCACTCTTTCCTAGAGGAGTAATGTCTGAAGAGAGTTTTTCAGTTCTGCTTTTCTACCTCTTTCACAATCATCCATTTTTCTCCACAAACACACAAAACATTTCAATTATTAACAACATAATGCATTTCTGGATCCTTCTAGGATGACAAAGAGTCAATTTGATTCTAAAATATATCCCCCATAGAGGCTAAGCAAGAAATATTAAAGGGGACAGTAATTGATTACATAAAAATGACAAAATCATGGCAAGTCTTCATGCTTTAGCTAGTTGATAGTTATATTAGAGTCAAATTTCAAAAGTAATGTGTTTGTCATGAGGGCATGTATTAATGTTTCTATTCAAATTGAAAAATGATGTAAGACACTTTCTGACAGAAAGTAGGCCTGATGTAGCTGATTGGTTTGACTATGGAGTCTGGCCTTGCCAATTCGTTTACATAACAGACATTTTACATACATGAAACAAGAAAAATATGCTGCTCTGAAGTTTTAATGAAATCTTATTTAAATTTCATTAAAGAATTTATATGATATACAATATGGCAAAAATTACATCTTTGCAATTTAATAAAAGTATAAAAATTTCATATGTCAACTTAAAGGTGTGTTAGGGAGTTTATTCATGGGACTATGAAAGGAAGAAAGAACGAAGAAAATTGGTTTTTATGGATTGCTCTTTTGCCATTTTTATGTGAGTGATGATGAATTAATAGTAGTACCTGTTTTCACACATTATGATTTATTCCCAGAGAACTCAGCTGCTTGAGTGCAAGCAGAGAAACAACAGAAGAGTATGTTCACCTAGGTGTTTTGTTGCTGTTGTCATTGTTGTTTTTAATCACAGAAGACAATGAAATGAGGAGAAAGACTATTGAGTTGTTAGGGTATTAAGGAGGTTAGGGTATTTAATTAGAAAGACCGAATAGATAGATGAAATGTGAAATCAAGTGGACGGATTTCTGATGTTATTACATAATGTTTCTGCTTAGGAAAGAAGAAAGTGATTGAAGAGCTCATTTTAACCCTTAAAAGTACTATTTATATTGGGGCTTTCTAGGAAAAGGTAAAGTTGCTGAGAACATGGTTAATCCATATAGTGATGTCATACTTTAATGTAATCATTATGGAATCTGTGATCTGCAGTCATTATTAATACACAGGAATCCTCTCAAATTGTGTCTCAGTTTTTGGCTTGGGAAAATTTTACCCAGCTTATGTTCTTTCTGGGTAAGAGTTTAATTTCCTGTGTTGAATTTTGTCAATTTTAGTACCTATATATATAATATATAATATATATATTAAAAACTATTTTAAAAGTGCAAAAGATTTATACAACAAAGACATGGAATCAATCTAAGTGCCCATCAACAGTGGATTGATTAAGGAAACTGTGGTATATATATATCAAGATGTCATAACATTTTTTCTGTGGAAAATAATATAGTCATAAAAGACCATGTGTTGTATATTTCAATTTTTATAAAAGGTCCAGAATAGGAAAATCTACTGAAATAGAAAGTAGAATCGTAGTTGCCAAGGACTGAAGGAGTCAGTGAGTTGGGGAAAAGAGATATTGGGCCCCAGCTAGTAGGTATAGGATCTCTTCTTAGGAAGATGAAAATTATCTAACCTAATGTGTAGTGATGATTTCACAATTTTGTAAATGTCATGATGCCACATTAAATTGTAACCTTTTATTTGATACACTGCCAAACATTATCTGAAATAAGCACTTGCATTTAGTATTTGAAATATTGCTCCCTTTTGATTCTAAGGCACCTCTTAAGCAATACAGTTTTTGTATCAAGTTTCCACAATTGGCCAATGTAATTTTAAATTATAGCATTTAAAATATCAGTCTACCAATATGAGTTATAGCATAAATACATTTATGAAGTAGTAGTAAGTCCCAGAGGGAACACTGTCTAAAATTTGGACTAAAATAAACCCACTGAAATTGTTGCTAAAATAGTTGCTATGACTTCATGTTTTGGGACCCTCAGCCTAATGTCTGGACTGTGACCAACTAATTTGTTCACCCAACTATTTTGCACTTTTTGTTAGAAAGTATTGTTAAGGGATCTCTCTCAGATTCAAATGTTCACAGACAAAACAAGAAAACACTGTGGAAACTCCTTAGAAAGTTTTGATAAGTGACCTGAGGTAAAGTTGGACTAAAGAATGCTAGTATAAGGAACGCTCTGAATTTTTTATTCACCAGGTTTGGCTTGAAGAGTGGGCTTACTGGGGTCTATGTCTATCTTCTTTCTTGAGTACTTTCCTATTAAAAGACATGTAACAAAAAGGGGCAGGCGGGAGAGAGAGACAAATAACAGTGTTCTTAACACAAAGAAAAGAACGGAAGTTTTCACATCTGATCAGATGATCAAAGGGTCTCTAGGAAAGGTTTTTTTAACACAAGGATAGGAAATTAAATTGGTATTTGAGGAGCTTTGATGCAAAGAAATTAACATTCAGACACAATCTAATTAATTACCGATAATTATCATGTTCTGAGAGACACTCAAGCTACATGCCCAAGGACTTGCAGAAGCAAGTGCTGTTTCTGAATGGAAAGCATTGTGACATAGAGAGGAAAACAGCTTAATTTTGTTCTCCTTGGACCTCCAAAATTGTCAAATTCTGGCTTCCCAATAGTAATACTTAAACAGCTTTATAAGGTTTTAAATTTTTTTAAATTTTCTTTTTTTGAGACAGAATCTTGCTCTGTAGCCCAGGCTGGAGTGCAGTGTCGCAGTCTCAACTCACTGCAACCTGCGTCTCTTGGGTTCAAGTGATTCTCCTGCCTCAGTCACCCGAGTAGCTGGACTACAGGCTCCTGCCACCATGCTCTGCTAATCCTTGTATTTTTACTAGTGGCAGGGTTTCACCATGTTAGCCAGGCTGGTCTCGAGCTCCTGACCTCAGGTGATCTGCCTGCCTTGGCCTCCCAAAATGCTAGGATTACAGGCATAAGCCACCATATCTGGCCTTCCATAAGGTTTTTAATGGTCTTGGAGGATTAATTATTTGATACTGTCTATAGAAAGTTGAACATTTTGACTTACTTAAAATGGGATTATGAGACTGGAACAGAAAACCAAACACCGCATGTTCTCACTCATAAGTGGGAGTTGAACAATAAGAACACAGAGACAGGGAGGGGAACATCACACACAGGAGCCTGTCGGAGGGTCGAGGGCAAGGGGAGTGAGAGCATTAGGACAAATACCTAATGCATGTGGGGTTTAAAACCTAGATGATGGGTTGATAGGTGCAGCAAACCACCAGGGCACATGTGTACCTATGTAACAAACTGCACGTTCAGCACATGTATCCCAGAACTTAAAGTAAAATAAAAATAAATAAATGAAGAAAAACAATGGGCAATACAATGAGCAACTTTTATCTACCTTAGCAAGAATTTACTGGAAAAGTTCGGTCAAAGTCATAAATCACATCAATGAAGATAGTAGAGTGGTATTTGTAAAGACAGCTAGCTAGTATAATTATGTTAGTTGCCAGCTGGGTGCAGTACATACTTTTTGTTCAGTGATAAAAAGAGAGAAAAAAGTTTGGAAATGAAAGCCACAAAAGAGAAACAGACTGTAATAAATATATGGACACCTCTTAAAAGACACCATCAAGCAATATGAAAACAAAATCTCTTGAATAAATCTAACAAAACATCCACTAAACCACTGGATCCTTGAGACCAGTCATTCTTTATTGTCAATTTTTTTAACTTACTGTATTTAGCACATATACACACATACATATATTATAAACACATTTTAGCAAATAAAACTTAGTTTACTTCCTGGGGATGTGATTTGGACCTGGTGATAAGAGTAAAATGCAGAAGCAGAGGTTAATGAAAGATTGTCCATACAAATTGTTATGAGGCAAACGCCATAAAATCTTACTGATTAACTGGATGACAAAAACTACAAGCTGAGCTTCAGATGCCCACCTCAGAAAATGTCTCAAAGTACATTATGGAATCTCTTAAGAATGTCTGTTTATAAAATAAGAATAATAAATCCTTTATCTTATGGTGTTAGGATTTCACTATTGTTTTAAAATGTGTCAACAGCATAATATTACAGGTTATATGCGAATGATTATGCTATCCATAAGATTGGATGCATCACAAAGCTAAATAGAGCTACAAATGGCATAAAAATTTTCATCAACCCAGGTCTGAAAGTAATTCACACTTTTAACCTTGGAATCCCCCAACCAATAGTTGTCCAAAACTGTCTCATGTTTGGATTTTCCTGTCTTTTTCCTTCACTTCTCCTTTTCATGTGTGTGTAAGAAAACTCATTCATTTCACATCACAAGTAGATTAAGCTGAGCGAGTGGCATCAAAAACATGGAAAAAGGTGAAGTGAAGGGATGTTATACAAACAAAGCATTCAAAGCAGATCTGCAAATATATGACAGCTGTCACAGCATAGCACTGACGCATCAGTGAGAGGTCAAGAACTGTCTTCAAGGCAGAAGTCAGAAAAGCAACCACTAAAAAGGAGATCCATTTCCATAAAAATGGGGGTGCGGTGGAGTGGGGTGGGGTGGGTAGGGCAACAGTGTGATAGTAAATCTGGGGAATAGGCATTTGAAGCTAATAAAATGTCATAGTCACATTAAAACTGCAAAGATAAGCATTATATAATACAAGTGACTCTAAAACATATAGTGAGATTGTATATGAAGCAAAAAATTATATTTAAATTATCTCTTCATTCTTGAGCAAAGTAGTTCCATTATCTCTAATACAGCAAACTCTAAAATGCATTTTCTGCCTCATTGCAATTCACAGCAAATGGCCCAGATCAACATTCTGAAATTGTAAGTAGTTTCTTTAGCCTTCTAATAGGACTTAGCTGTATGACTTCAGTATCCAGATTTCTGCCTCAGTGAGCAATAGCTCAGAGTTAAAATATTAAGTAGACTAAATATTAAACACATAGTTTCTCCAAGGACATATATAACAACACATGGTACTTTAGGAAAGGAAAAAAAGCACAAGAAAGATTGCCTGCTGGGTCATCAATTTCACTATTTTGACCTCTCTAACCCAAAGGGTTGATTTAAATGGTTTAGCTCATTTTTTTATCATATATAAATAATAATCTGGTAGATTGTTCTGATCTTCATAGGGTAATATGAAAAAATATAATCCTTTCTTTCTCCATTTCTTCCAGCTGTGCTATAAGTACCTGCAGTTTTCAAATGCAGTCAGACATACATTGGAAGGGCTAGGAAGTTAAGACACAGTCTCTAGGCTTGGCTCTGCCAGCTCTACAGAAGTGCACGGAATATAACCATGAAGAAGCCTGGGGCTTTGGCATCAGTGAGACTGGGATTAACATTTAGGAAAGTAACTTAACCTTTTGGAGGCTCACTGATCTCATCTATTGAATGAGATCAATACACCTGTTTGATTTTTTTTCTGTAGAATTTAATTCTAGATAATTTGAGGAGTCTAATAAAGTGTTTGGGACAGGAGAAAAGGCAGGTATTATTCATTGTCATCAACGTTACTGGACAGGTCAGAGAATAAGGAAGTAATAGTAATATAAATCTCAGTTAAGGAATTAGTAAAAATTTGATTCATAACTTCTTTACATGAAGTATCCAAGAGCCCAAATGAAATAAAAACACTCTAAGAAAATTATTTAAAAAGTGACTCTAAAGGCAGATGTTAAAACAAAGTGAAGAAATACAAATAGATAAATGAGAAAAATAGTTACAGGGAAGGAAAAGCCTTAATAGATTAAAGGTAATGTTTAAGAAGGTATAGGATATCAGCACATATTGCATCTAGAAATAATCTATCTTTTATTTTGGCAATTTATGAACATGCTTTTTATCCTAAAACCTGAGTATTATAATTGTATTCAGCAACAATACAGGTATAAACCTTACCCATTCTTCAGTGCTGCCTCCTCCAGGAACGTCTTTCAAATTCCCTGAAAATGAATTTATAAAGACATTTGCTTATACCTTGCTTAGGACACCTCTCTCTACCTCAGATAGGAACAGTGTGCACACTGTTCCCTCATACTGGTCTGCAAATCCTGCATGGGGGAACAAGTCAAACCAGATTCAACTTAGTTCCTCTATGTGGCCTCTCGTGAAGACATATGTGGCTTCACAATGGGCAACAATTGGACTTGTTCATGAATCCTTTTGCTCTTTTTCTATGGCCTGTGTTACCATCCTACACTCACTCCCTTCTTATGTGCTCCCCTTTGGTATTTTTATCATTTTCTCCTGCTTTTGTATCTTGGTCATAGCCACCCTGAGGGAAATGCTAGAAGTACTCCCACTCCAAAATGGCCCCAGCCTACTTAATGGAAATTGGCCAATCTCTCCTCCAGATATTTAATTCATTCTTACTTCATTATATGACTGCATTATAGGACTCAGTTTCAGCTGCAATATTTTCTCTATGTGTATAATAAATGAATTTAACAAAAGTAAGTTTTCCTGAAGGAGTTAATAGGTATATTTTGAAAACAGCAACTTGATTTTCCTGAGTGGTATATTCTACATGCCGTTTCATTTGTGATTTCAGCTATTCTATTATCTAAACAAACTATGCAAGACCCAGAAACAAGTTATTTGAAATACAATACATATAGTGTTTTGGAACCCTGAACTATTATAGAAAGTCATCATCCATGCCATGGTTCAACATCATAGGAAAGGAATACTTAAAAAGAAACAATTACTTTAAAGATCATGTAAAATAAGTGTTTTGAATAATAAACTACTCTCATTACACAATCTTAACTTATATTATAATTATTATTATTTACATGTTAATTTTTAAAGCTTTATTAATGGAAATTTAATATATTAATACTTCATATATTCATATGATATGTCACGATGTTTAGATTATTTTAGTGCAAGTATTAAGTTTATGAAAAACAAATGTCCTTATTACATGTTTTATTTTACATATATATTTGACTAATCAAACCTATACGACCTACTCACTCAAAATATAATGATGTTGATTATTAGTCTCTCTTTTGTTTTAACCAAATAACAATAGACTATACTATTATTGAAGATAATGAAAAATGATATCTTTGTCTTAGATTTGCCATCATTTGTTTTCCAGCTACTTGCTTCTGGTAAAAATGAATTTAAATATCATGGAAACACCACTGAATTCCAGAAAATTGCATAATCATCTCTAATAATATGTTTCTATTGACATCATCTGAGTGTCATTACACAAAAACACTTCAGTTAGCACAATAAACCAACTGAAAACTTTAAAATATTTTATTTAATGTGAAGAGTTATGTGTGTAAACAGTATAATTAAGAACAATCAGATGAAGGTGGCAAGGAGCCACATACTAAGTCTACAAAAGTAGGAGAATAGAAATACAGCATCCATGGATGTAAAGTTCATGATCTAATGTAATCCTTGTAAAAGGAATGTATTTGAATTAATGTAATTCTTATAATAGGAACATGTTTGAACTTAATTTTAGTTGTGCATCTTAGAGAGTTCAGAGAACTATTAATGTTTGCCTAAATTAACTATGTGAATTCATCTTAAGGGTTTTATTTAATCAAAAACGCTTTCATTTTCTGTTGTTTTAAGGAACTTAGAAAACTATCAGATATCTGGAAGTGAAGTAAAGCTTATGAAGAAAAAAGCAGTGTGGAACTGCAGTGATTTAAAAGAAACAAGATGGGACCCATACACTCAGCATTAAAACATATAAATCTGTAATTATTCTAGTGAATTTGATAAACAACTTCATTTCTAGTATGTTACACTCACAAAGCTGTAATTGAATTGAACTAAAATTGTTCAAGAGCTAAATATTCAAGGTGAACACTAGGTTCTCTGTTACGTGATGGATCTTGTCAGTGTTAAAAAGATGTCTATCGAAAAACCAAACTTGGCACACCTTGTGAATTTTTAAAGAATATTTTAATACACCTGTTTCATTTTTAACAGTTTTCTCCATCCCAACTCTATGTCTCTCTTCATCTCTTTCAATATCACTGAGTTTAGTACTGAAGAATGTGTCTATAAAACAGCCGCAATAGGATCTTGCTTTGGTCAGACACTCAAACTTGCCGTTAAACAGATGCTGGAAGGCCACAGTCTATAAAGACATGCCACTCCACAATGAGTCTCTGAGAAAACTAATGAGCCCACACAACTTCAATGTACTCCTTAGCCCATAAGTTGTAAAACAGCTTTTTAAAAGTTAAAGCCTGGCCGGGCGCGGTAGCTCACGCCTGTAATCCCAGCACTTTGGGAGAACGGGGCGGGTGGATCACAAGGTCAGGAGATCGAGACCATCCTGGCTAACAAGGGGAAACCCCGTCTCTACTAAAAATACAAAAAAATTAGCCGGGCGTGGTGGCGGGCACCTGTAGTCCCAGCTACTAGGGAGGCTGAGGCAGGAGAATGGTGTGAACCCGGGAGTTTGAGCTTGCAGTGAGCCGAGATCGCGCCACTGCACTCCAGCCTGGGTGACAGAGTGAGACTCCATCTCAAAAGAAAAAAAAAAAAAATGTTAATGCCCTTTTCAGTTACCTTTCTTTTTTACTAATAAAAATATATTATTAAATTTTAATTCTCAGCATCAAGATTGATTGATACTATGAACAGATACATGAATGACATTTTCTGAAAGATAAGATTACATATATACATATCTATTCCTATCACTGTAACACTGATTTGTAAATTTAAACATTGCTCTTTTCCGCTGGGAGAGGTGGCTCACGCCTGAATCCCAGCACTTTGGGAGGCCGAGGCAGGCGGATCATCTGAGGTCAGGAGTTCGAGACCGGCTGGGCCAACATGGCAAAACCCCCGTTTTTATTAAAAATACAAAAATGAGTCGGGCATGGTGGGGCGTGCCTGTAATCCCAGCTACTCAGGAGGCTGTCAGGAGAATTGCTTGAATCCGGGAGGCGGAGGTTGCAGTGAGCCAAGATCGCGCCACTGCACTCCAGCCTGGGCAACAGAGACTCAGTCTCAAAAAAAAAAAAAAAAAAAAAAGAAAAGAAAAAAAATTGCTCTTTTCCTTTGTTAGAGTTACAGCTTTCCTAAATGTATTATGCTGGGTCACATTATCATAATCACAGTAACCAAGAAATTGACTAATAATTTAAGTATCTACTGGCTGGGAGTGGTGGCTCATGCCTATAATCGCAGCACTTTGAGAGGCCATGGCAGACGGATCACCTGAGGTCAGGAGTTCAAGACTAACCTAGCCAACATGGTGGGCCCCATCTCTGCCAAAAATACAAAAATTAGCCGGGCATGGTGGCGGGTGCCAGTAATCCCAGCTACTCAGGAAGCTGAGGCAGGAGAATCGCTTGAGTCCGGGAGGCAGAGGTTGCTGTGAGCTGAGATCGCGCCATTGCACTCCAGCCAGTTGACAAGAGCAAAACTCTGTCAAAAAAAAAAAAAAATGCCATAAATAAATAATAAAATAAAATAAAATCTATGACTTGGTAATTCAGTAGATTTGTATGTGTGATCTTTTGTATCTTGACTAAAAGGAGGTGAGTGTTAAGATTCAGAGATATCATTCCTTTTGACTCTTGTATACTCATGACATAATAGGGCAATAAGAGATATATTGTTCCTTTCCAAAACAAACACCCAAGTGAAATGTTATCTTTTACAGACATATCTATCTTGAATTCATGGAATCAGAATTATGCTAGTGACATTTTTGCAAAATAAATCAGAAATATGTTAAATATTATTTGCTTTTTTCTCTACTTTATTGATATACAAATGCTTTCTCTTGAAGACCAAATTTACTAGCAAAAATGTAACAAGTATGTATCTGTTGATAATTTCTAAAACTGTACTGTAAACCATAATCTTTCCTCAAAACTCTCAACCCTAATATTCTACCAAGGAATACCTTTATTTGGATGTTTGTTGTGAAAACACAATTTCAAAATTAACTCTTTTGGCTTCCTGACAAATATTTTTTTGCTCTTAAATTTTCTACAGTAAATTGTATGTTTCTATATCTCTTTTGGCAATCATCGATTGTTAAAGAGTTAAAAGAATTACAAGTATATATTAGCGGTATTATGTTAATATCTGGATTTTGAATGTGAAAAAAGGATGCATTACTACTGAGTGACCAAGGATTTTCCAAAAATTGCATATCTTTTTTGGTTGGACAAAGTAATAAATACAATAGCAGGATATGATTGAAGGATTCTCACAGGCTGTGATACTGTGAAATAAAAAATTTATATTTGGTTTCTGCTCCATTTCTGTCACAGAGCTTCTAAAACCCTTGTAATTTCCTGAGCAGTAAGGGTACTGTACACATATTTTTTGTCTAATATGTGGTCTTTGGGCCAGGTTTCTGTCACAGAGCTCCTAATCCTTTGGAAATTCCTGGGTAGCAGAAGTGTCTTTTGTTCTAACGAGGCAACTCTTACTGGGTTTCTAGATGGGGCTGATCACCCTAATGACCAGGCTTTATGAGAAAATTGGAAATTTTAGCTCCATCTTGCATTTCTGGAAGGAGAGAGGGGCTGGAGATTTTGATAGTAATTGATCATTCCTGTGTGATCAATTATTATGAAGCCTCCATAAAAATCCCCGAAATATAAAGTTCAGAGAGTTTCCAGGTTGCTGGGCACATGGAGGTGCTAGGAAGGTGGCACACATGGAGAGGACATGGAAGTTCCCCACCCCTTCCCATACCTTACCCTATTAATCTCTTCTGTCTGGCTGTTCATCTGTATCCTTTGTGTTATCCTTTAGAATAAACCAGAGAAAGTCAGTAAAGCACTTTTTTGAGTTTTGTTAGTCTCTCTAGAAAATGATGTAGCCCAAGGAGAGAGTTGTGGAAAGCTCTGATTTCCAACCAAATAAGACAAAAGCTGTGAAAAACCTGGAGCCTACTCTTGTGAATGGCATCTGAAGAGGGGGACAGTCTTTGGGGACAGAGCCCTTAACCTGCGGGTTCTGACACTATCTTCAGGTAGCGTCAGATTGAATGGAATTACAGGACACCCATCTTGTGCTGGAGAACGCTGATTGGGTCACAGTGGTATTGTCTGTTGAGTATGAGATTAGGAACAACAACTTTTTTCCTATTTTATACACAAGCCTTCCTACATCATGTTTGTGTGTTTGTGTATGTGCTCCTACAGAAGAAGTTAATGTATCCCTATTTGTATATATTTGTATATAATGTACTTAATATGCCATTAAATTATATATATATGTTTTCTCATTGCCATTTTTTTACTTGGTCTGAGTTGGAAGCATGACAGGCCAAACTAATGTTGTGTAATTTTTTTGAACTGTTTGAATAGTATTCAACAATTTCCTATTTCTTCCCATTAAGATGAAGATTTATTTAATTCATTACCATTATTGTTTGAAATACAAACTCACAAAGCTAAAATCAAAGGATATACAGAGTTAGCCTTTCCTATCCATGGGGTCTGTATCTGTGGACTCAACAAACCACAATGGAAAATACTTGAAAAAATAAAATGCTTGCATACTAAACATTTACAAACTTGTTTTGGTCATTATTCCCTAAATAATACAGCATAACAAGTATTTACATAGCATTTACATTGCATTATGTATTATAAGTAATTTTGAGATGATTTAAAATACACTGGAGGATTTCATAGGTTATATGCCAATACTATGCCATTTTAGATATGGGAACATGAGCATATAGCTATCTGCTGGAGCTCCTGGAACCAATACCCCACAGATACTGAGAAAAAACTGTATATATTAACTATCATAAAATCACTGTTATAAATATGAAGCAAAACATAAAAGAACTAAGTAAAAAGAGACCTATTAAAATATTGACTAACTGTAATTTTTTTAATTCAGGGAAATTACATGTCTACATATTTTATGTAAATTTGTAGCAATTAAACTTTGCTAGATAACATAAAAAATCAAATTATTCAAGATAAAACCAAAAAATCATTTAGAGATAGAATGGGGATGAACATTTCCTCAATGATCTAGCATAATGCTTTTTTAAAAAAGATTCAGAGTTAAGATAATTCAGATCTCAGAGGTTTATACATTTTTCCAATAAAGCGCCAGATTCTAAATATTTTAGGGTTTGAAGGCCATATGGCCAATTTTTTTTTTTGCCAATCCTCAACTGTGTCATTGTAGCATAAAAGCTGACATAATCAACACTGGACAAATGGGTCGAATTTTTCATTTCTTTTTCAACACAAACAGATTGGTGACAGGGTTTATTCAGCAGCACCATAGTTTGCCAACCCTGGAAGATGATTAGTTTTAGAACCCATCAACTTGCATACAATAGTAGTAATATTTGAATTTCTTTTTAATTTTCTTTTTTTTTTTTCTTTTGAGACGGAGTCTCCCTCTGTCGCCCAGGCTGGAGTACAGTGGCGCCATCTCAGCCCACTGCAAGCTCTGCCTCCCGGGTTCACGCCATTCTCCTGCCTCAGCCTCCTGAGTAGTTGGGACTACAGGCGCGTGCCACCATGCCTGGCTAATTGTTTGTATTTTTAGTAGAGACGGGGTTTCACTGTGTTAGCCAGGACGGTCTCGATCTCCTGACCTTATGATCCACCCGCCTCGGCCTCCCAAAGTGCTGGGATTACAGGCGTGAGCCACCGCGCCCGGCCTTCTTTTTAATTTTCATGACATTAAACTGACTTCCTGAACGAGGTGATTCACTCTAAATTCTGCTCCTGTCAGACAGAAATATGCATATATAAGGTAAATCACAAACTTGATATTGCCGTGTACTCTAGAACAAGACTGTTTAGGCTTGAAACCCTCTGTGTCACACAATAAATGTGATTTCAGTAAAATGTTTTCACCAGATTTGTTTTGTCCCATCTTGTAACCTAATTATTTTGACATAAAATGAAAAAAAAAAGAGCATTTTGGAAAGGCATCCACAATAAACCATACTGTTTTGCTAAGAGATCAATATTTTTATTCTTCCAAATGCCAAAACTGCATGAGAAAAGTAAACTAATATTTTTCAAAGATATAGTTTATGTTTTTGTGTTCTGTTGGCAATTAACATAAAACATTGGAATATAATAGATGAAAGTGACATTACAAATTAAGATAATTAAGATTAGCAATGATTTCATTATTAATATGCTTGCCAAGAAAAAGACAAACGTCTTCTATGTGAATCATCTGCAAATTAATAATGGAATCAGAGGATGGTATACAGAGGGTTAAAATCAAGAAAGCTCTTGAGGGCAATTTAATATATGATTAAGGAGTTTCTAAAATATAATTTCTTATGGTAAGACTACTAAAATAATATGAATGAGAATGCACAAAACCTTAAATGACTTGTGTAAGCATAATGATACATCTGAAAACTAGCATGTTACGGATAGTTTAAGAATTAGCAATAATAGCATAATAGTAAGGTGTAGGTAGAGATGCAGAATATAATTTTTTAATCAAATCCAACTTTTTTGATTTATCATGTTGCTCAAAATGTGACAGAAAATGGAACAGTATATGCCTTTCCTTGTTTATATTTACCTCAGAACAATCCATTTTGAGGAAAAGACACACACACATCTTTCCATTAAAAATAGTTGAGATTGACTCATGTATTTTTAAACCATTCCATTTCTGTTAATCATTGATGATATTGGTACTTAAAGACAGCCTGTTTTCACCTTGCAATTTCTTATTCAGTTGGATGCACAGACTACAGTTTTCTAACGTAAGTGGTTTATGCAAACATTGATTTAGTATTGATGCAAAAATCCAAATATTAATAGTTGACAAGTTTGTCATAATTGGAAGATGTAAAATGAGTCAATTTATGATTTTGTGTTTACTGACACAAATAAAATATGTAAATGATATAACCAGCACAGTGTAGGCTAATATATTGACTATATATGACAAAGATTCAATTTATTTCATATCCGTAAAGAACAGAAATATTTACTCTGTCAAAATTAATTACGTTTTTTGTGCCATGTTATTTCTGTTGTAAAAAATAGAAAGTTTCTTGGCCATTTTCAAATTAAAAAAGTTATATTATAAAAGTTTTATATTTAAAATAGGAATATTAAATATAAGCTAATAATTCACATTATATGTTTGTTTTTAAAACACCAATACTGTGTTTTCTATGCATATAAACTCTGTTTTATTTGAATTGCTTATAAAATGATTCCCAGACTCTTCCTTTTCATAAATTAATTTACAAATATAGTTGCTTTTTTTGTAGGGCAAAAAAAGTAATAGAAAACTTAACTTGTAACAGCTGATAATGTTCTTTGTTCTTATTAGCAATAAAATGTAAGTTTAAACTATATGTAAAATAAACAGATTAAAAATGTAAAAACAAGCTGTGCACGGTGGCTCACACTTGTCCTCTAGCATTTTGGGAGGCCAAAGCGGGTGGATTCCTTGAGCCCAAGGGTTCAAGACCAGCCTGGGTAACATGCCAAAAACTGTTTTCTACAAAAAATACAAAAAAAATTAGCTGGACATGGTGGCATGTGCCTGTAGTCCCTGCTATTCGGGAGGCTGAAGTGGGAGAATCACCTGAGCCTGGAGAAGTCAAGGCATCAGTGAGCGATGAATGCACCACTGAACTCCAGCCTGGGTGACAGAGTAAGACCCTGTCTCAAAAAAAAAAAAAAAAAAAAATTTAAAAATAGGAGCACAAATACCATTATACCATTTTACATATATTTGACAAATTAAATGCAATATTGACAAATATGTGGTAATGCAGCCTGCAAAAACTTTTAAAAACTTAAAATAAATTGGATAATATTTTGTCAATATAAAGTGTATTTGAATACAGAAAGCATCTTACTACAGAAATGTGAACAAACTATAGATTTCTATTTCTAAAACACATGAATGGAAATAATCATAACAAAGGGAACCTGTAAAATTCAAGAGAAGTGTAACAATGATAGCATCTGAATATTTAGTTAATACATGCTTATTGGATGTTTTCTTTTAATCACGAGTGAATCCATCTAATTGAACCTGCTTCCAGCCAATATTTTTTTCTCCACACATGGCACCTCACATTTTAAACTAGACTTGTAAATGACCCTGCTGTACTGTGTATTTAGTCTGAACATTTGGACACACTTCACCTTCCACATTAGGATAATTTTAGGTATCCAAATTTGTCCGTTTGTTTTTATTTTTATATTGCATGTTAAATCAACCTATCTGTACTTTAAAAATTATTGTTACATTTATATGTGCCAATTTTATGTTTTTCCTCATCTGTGATGTCTTCTTTAAACATTTGCCTCACAAGATATCTGGCGGTTGGGGGAATACTTATAGGGTGAATAAAGTCTTCATATAAATTTACAAGCAAATGGCAAATTATTTCCTAAATAGGTTTTAAAAACTTCTATAAGATCTCTTCCTTTAGATATTTTATATAAATTTTTTTCAAAATACACTTTAATAACATTGATTTATAAAACAATTATAAATAAAATTAAGTGTAAATATCATATATGTCATATTTGATAATACCTGGCCTTTATTATTATTGAAGCAGTTAGTAATTTGGGGGTCCTCTGATAATATGTGAATTTTATTGTGTTTTACTTTTAATTTTTTTCTATGAAACACTACAGACAATATTTCATGAAGAAACTATAATGTAAAGTTAAATTTTTTACAAGTGTATTTTTGTTTTGTTTTGTTCCAATTATGTCCCTAAGCTCAACCATATTGTATTTCATTTGTGGCGTTTAATACTTGAGGTGAGCCTTACTGTGAGCAGCTCCTATAAGCAATGGAAAGTTCTAGACTATAACTTTTAACATTTCTTTCCCTCAAAAAAGTGAAGATTGCAATAATTATGTGATGAAGGCAGGGGAATATTTTTCCATTGCACAAGTACTGGATGACTGAATTCTTGTAGGAAAGAAAATGTGATTATATAATTTTCAAATGTGATTTATACTTTCCATACCCAGAAAATTATAATATGTAGAATGTTATAATAAGATGTATTCATTCCAAGGAAATGAACTCTATTTTATGGTTAATCATATAGAACACAGATCTCTTTGACTATAATTAAATTGACAGCAGTTTTTGCAAAAGGCCGATGAAGTCGATGACCCGGACACAACCCTTTTATGGAACACTTTGGGGAAATAACACAGGAGCCTTGATCACAAAGTATTATTGGTCTACTGATCCCGACAAAAACCATATTGTATTCACGACATTTAGACTTCAAAATTTTACCAAAGGCTCAATTTTTATATTTTACAACACATATACTAATGTGTGCTCTCAGAAAATAAGCAAATGTATATTTTATTTAATAAAACACTGTTAAAAGAAAAATGTTTATATACCAGTAGCACATTTAAACAATTATGTAACATTAGTACTTCAATCATATGCATTTAAGCATACCTTATACATACTTTTGAAATAGTCTAAATTTGCTGTGCTTTATATGTGAGGTTGCAGGAAGATGAGAAAGAAGAGTGATATGGAATTAAAGGCTGACAAATTTGCAAATGTGGAAAATTTGATGGAAGAATCACATAGTGTTTAGGAGAATTTATAAAGTGCTCCTGCCTCTAGCATTAAATGAGGATCTGAAAATGTGGACAAATTTAGTGAAAAATATTCTTAATATATGATTTGGTTCGAATTTGTGTCCCTGCACAAATCTCATGTCAAATTGTGATCCAGAGTGTTGGGGGAGGGGCCTGGTGGGAGGTGATTGGATCTTGGTAGAGGTTTCTAATGGTTTAGCTCATTCCCCTAGTGTTACTTTGTGATGGACTTCTCCCAAGATCTGCTTGTTCAAAAGTGAGTAGCACTTCCCCGATCTCTCTTCTTCCTGCTTCCAAGTAAGACGTGCTTGCTTCCCCTTTGCCTTCCACCACGGTTGTTAAGTTTCCTGAGGCCTCCCCAGAAGCAAAAGCCTGTACAGCCTGCAAAACTGTGAGCCAATTAAAATTCTTTTTTAAATAAATTACCCAGTCTCAGATATGTCTTTATAGCAGTGTGAGAACAGACTCATACAATATATTATTATGGTCCTATTCAATTTAAACAAAATTAATAATAGAAAATAAAAATTTCTTAAAAGTTCATTTTTCCCCTGATGGCTAAATAGCTAAACTCTGAAAATGTAAAGCTCAGAAATTTTGCAAAACAATTTCTAAGAAACACATGGCGTTGCTTGATATTATCCAAAACAGCTTCTTGTTTTTAAATTTTATTTGTCATATTTAGAAGAGAGTATCTACTGTGCTATGCATCAGTAGTTACTTAAATAAAATCCGAAATAGGGCTAAAATTCAATGGAGGGCCATTTCTTTGGAATGTTGTGATGATATCACTATCATTTCATTTGCTATGGTGTTAGCTATTTAACCTCTTTCACTGATTTTCTGGTTACTTGGCTACAGTTAATGAAATTTACAGGAAGGAGGGAAGAGAGCTGAGAGTAAAGGGAGAAGGACATAGGGTTTTCATGTAGAGAGAATAAGAGATTACATCATGTTTTAATATAGGACGTTATTCAGATGAAATAAATCCAGATTAGCTTTTCCTGCTTTAAAGTATTAGGCCAGGATAAGGATTAACACTTACAACATCTGAATAAAATTGGTTTCTTTAGAACAGTGTTTGGTGGCTTGAACACAACATACAAAAGCTTCGTATAATAAAATCTGTTCTTCACTTATCATAAATATAACAAGCCATATTTTCTTTACAAATAAAAGTTTATCTTCCTCTTTTAATAAATCATTGCCTTATTGGTTCAACGGTAAGTCACTTGTTGCTAGTTAGCATAGAAGCAATGCATTTTCTATGTATTATTTAATCTTATTTAACACATAAAGCTGAATATCTGAGATTTCCTCAATTAATAATATTAAAATCAAAATGTTGCCAATAAGACTTACGAAGTGAAAATGATGTCTAAAATGCAGATAAGTTATGGTGTGATATATGCATGCATTTTCATAGAAGAGCCAAATTTGAATCTGTAATCTCTTGATCTTTACAACTCTTTTATCTTCTGTCAGTCTTGCTTAGCAATGCATACTGACCTGATTTCAGTAGTTGATCATCTTTATTTCTGATGTTAAGGTGTATCACATGTCCAAACTTGACCTAGTTCCATTTGGCACAGAGGGAAATCGTCATATATAAGTGTAAAGCTACATAATAATACCATGTTTAGAGTTTTCTTTGTGGGTATTATCTGTTTTATTATCATATGCATTTTTAAATGAGAGTATCGATAGCCTAAAAGAGAAACATGGAGATGGAATTTGAATGATGTTAATAAGATGATATGACACAGCTTTGCAGCATGTTTTCGTTCAATTTTTAGTTGAAGAATAGACATAATTCTATTTCATTCCTACATCATTTCTTTCTCACATAATCTCTGAAGTTAGTGCACCATTTCCTTGGTGCTGATAATTACATTCTTCCACAATCATTTAGAGAATCATAGTAATAATAATAATGGATATAGTTATCAAGGCAATAATAATTACTTAGTATTTGAACTGTAAATATGACTACCTGAATTCAAATCGTGGTTTTGCATTCTGTTATTTGTATAATCTTGAGCAATTTACTTAACCTCTCTCTGTTTCATTTCCTTATCTTCAAAGGAAGATAAAAAAATAACTGACTTCATGAGATTTGAAGATTCTATCAAGTAATAGTAAGTGTTGGCATTTGGCATTATGCAAGCTTGCTTTAAAAAAGTGAACAACCTCTCTCAATTAATCCTTATAGCCTGTTTGAGGCAGTCACTGTATATTTTTGCCAATTCCAAGTGAAAAAATGAAGCTCTAAAATGTTAAATAACTTCCCCAAAGATACAGATAGAAAGTATACTCTACCCAGGCCTAGTGGCGCCAACCTGTAATCTCAGCTATTTGTGAGGCTGAGGTGGTAGGATCGCTTGAGCTCAGAAATTCAAGAACAGCCTGGGCAAAATATCAAGAACCCATCTCTAAGAAATAGTAATATGAAAAGCAGAATCTAGATGTGGGGGCTTGTGTTTATAACTTAAATCCGCTACTATTATAACACTCCCTATCCCTAATTCATATAAACAAGTACGTAGGTATTGTAGTATGTGAAAATGTCCCTTAACATTTAGAATGTATACGATAAGTCTGTAAACTATTAAATATTTGAGAAGTTGAAAGAGTGGTTATTTATATAATCATCTTAAAATGTTTAGAGATAAATTTAAAGTGCCTAAACAGAAGAAAATAAAACAGCTTATTTAGTGGATGCCAAAATCAAAATATAAAATACCAAAATGAAAATTCTCACATTTCTCATTCATTAAAAAGTTTTCATTGTTTGTTTATTATTCAATAGGAGAAAGCATTTAGTGCATTTTAAAGTTTTATTTTAGTTGACAAATAATAAATATTTATATATATGTATGGAATAGGTGTTTTGATACATGTATACATTGTAGAATGGTCAAACAGGGTAATTAGCATATCCATCACATCAAATAGTTTCCATTTCTTTTCTATGAGAACATTTAAAATTTTCCTTTAGCTATTTTGAAATATTCAAAAGATTATTATTAACTATAGTCACTTTGATGCACAAGAGAACACCAGAACTTATTCTTCTATAACTGTAATTTTGTTCCCATTGGGCAACATCTTTCTTTTTTTCATCCACTTTACCCACCCCACTCAAAGCCTTTCATAGCCACCATTCTATTCTTTACTTCTGCAAGTTCAACTGTATTAGAATCCATATATGAGTGAGATCATATGGTGTTTGTCTCTTTATGCTTGGCTTATTCCACTTCAGTCAATCAAAGATTAAATGTACTCTAGCCTAAAAGCTTAGCTATCCAGCATTAAAAAAAAAAAAAGACCAAACAGTGAATATGACATTCCCTACAAAAGAGAAGAAAAACAAAAACAGCAATAAAGCAAAATAAATTTTTTAAAAATTATAGCATTCAAATAATTTTATCTCTGAGTCTCAATTTCCTTTCTGTATAATGGGGATGAAAAACATTAACTTTTACACAAAAATCTTTGAAAAATATCACTATTATTCAAATAAAATATTTTATATTTTCTGTTTGCTGTTTTTTCTGCAACTTCATACAACACTCAAATCTCAGATGTCATTTAATATATAATATAAAGTTGGGCCTGATGCGGTGGCTCACACCTATAACCCCAGCACTTTGGGAGGCTAAGGCAGGAGGATCACAAGGTCAAGAGATCAAGACCATCCTGGCCAACGTGGTGAAACCCCATCTCTACTGAAAAATACAAAAATTAGCTGGGCGTGGTGGAGTGTGCCTGTAGTCCCAGCTACTCAAGAGGCTGAGGCAGGAGAATCGCTGAAACCCAGGAAGCAGAGATTGCAATGAACCGAGATCAAGCCACTGCACGGTAGCCTGGCAGAAGAGCGAGACTGCATCTCAAAAAATAAAAATAAATAAAATAAAGTTAGGTGTATTACTACTAAGTTGATTTAAGATTGTATAATAGGTACTACATAAAAGTCTGAATCATATATTAATAGAGGATCATCTGCTTATAGATTTTAAAAATTTCAATGTACCCAACAAATTCACCTCATTTGGAATAAATATATATCATTCTTCTTATTCCTCAGTGATATTTCGCTATCAATCTGTTTTCCAGTGTAGACTTTACTAACAGCACTAGAGTTTTATAAATATCCAAGAAAATATTCAGGAAATTCTACACCATTTGACTGGTATGAGATATTTTCAGTTCCTCCCATCTGGGAAACCATCTGAAGCTCATGAGCAGAAAGAGTCACCTGAGAGAATACATGTTTTTGTTTATTTTTTTCTTATTTGCAATTATTCCACTTCATGTTCACACTGACTCTTCTAAGAACCATTGTTCTAGAAAATCCTCCAACCCCTGATCCTTTCTATGTTGCTGATATGGTTTGGTGCTGTGTTTCCCCACCCAAATCTCATCTTGAACTGTACACCCAAAATTTCCACGTGTTGTGGGAGGGACCCAGTGGGAGATAATCTGAATTACGGGGGTGGTTTCCCTCATACTGTTCTCATGGTAGTGCATAAGTCTCATGAGATGTGATGGTTTTATCAGCAGTTTCAGTTTTTGCATCTTCCTCATTTTTCTCTTGCTGCTGCCATGTAAGAAGTGCCTTTTGCCTCCTGCCATGATTCTGAGGCTTCCCCAGCCATGTGATATTGTAAGTGCAATTAAACCTCTTTTCCTTCCCAGTCTTGGGTATGTCTTTATCAGTAGCGTCAAAACGGACTAATACAGTAAATTGGTGGGCCGGGTGCAGTGGCTCACGCCTGTAATTCCACCACCTTGGGAGGCTGAGGCGGGTGGATCATGAGGTTAGGAGTTCAAGACCAGCCTGACCAACAAGGTGAAACCCTGTCTCTACTAAAAATACAAAAATTAGCCAGGCATGGTGGTGAGCACCTGTAACCCCAGCTACTCGGAAGGGTGAGGCTGGAGAATCACTTGAACCTGGGAGGCAGAAGTTGCAGTGAGCTGAGATGGTGCCACTGTACTCCAGCCTGGGCAACAAGAGTGAAACTCCATCTAAAAAAAAAAAAAAAAAAAAAAAAAAAAACCAGTAAATTGGTAATGAGAGTGAGGTGTTGCAGAAAAGATATCCAAAAATGTGGAAGTGGCTTTGGAACTGGGTAACAGGCAGAGATTGGAACAGTTTGGAGGGCTCAGAAGAAGACAGGAAAATGTGGGAAAGTTTGGAAACTCCTAGAGACTTGTTTAACAAAAATTCTGATAGTGATATGAAAAATAAGGTCCAATCTGAGATGGTCTCAGATGAAGATGAGGAATCTGTTGGGAACTGGAGCAAAGGTGACTCTTGTTACATTTTAGGAAACAGACTGCTGGCATTTTGCCCCTGCCATAGAGATTTGTGGAACTTTGAACTTGAGAGAGATGATTTGAACTTGAGGGTATCTGGTGGAAGAAATTTCTAAGCAGCTGGATTGACAGAATGGTGGAATAGCCTTTTGAAGTCACAATTACAATGGCAACTATGTGACAACAGTTTGCAGGGCTGGGACAAAGTTCTCCAGAAGGCTGTGTATGCTCTGAATCACCATCCATTATATGGTACTGTTTCTCCTATAGCCACGATTCATGGGTCCAGGAATCAAGGGGTGGAGTGGAAGTGGCACCACTCAACAGCCCCCCTAGTGATCCACTAGCAAAATTTTTGCTTCCTGTTCCCATGACATTGCATTTTGCCGGCCTAGAGGTCTTAGTTCCAGATGGAGGAACACTGCCACCAGGGGACACAACAATTATTCCATTAAACTGGAAGTTAAAACTGCCACCTGGACACTTTGCGCTCCACCTACCTTTAAGTCAACAAGCTAAGAAGGCAGTTACGGTGTTAGCTGGGGTGAGTGACTCGGACTATCAAGATGAAATCAGTCTACCACTCCACAACAGAGGTAAGAAAGAGTATGCATGGAATACAGGAAATCCATCAGGGCGTCTCTTAGTATTACCATACTCTGTGATTGAGATCAATGGGAAACTATAACAGCCCAATCCAGGCAGAAAAATGTAAAAAGAGAGACTGGCCTTGCCTCCCAGCTTACATCTTTCTCCCATGCTTCTTGCCCTAGAACATCCGACTCCAAGTTCTACAGTTTTGGAACTCAGAGTGTCTCTCCTTGCTCCTCAGCCTGCAGATGGCCTATTGACGGACCTTGTGATTGTGTGAGTTAAGACTTTGGGGGACTGTTGGGAAGGCATGATTGGTTTTGAAATGTGAGGACATGAGATTTGGAGGGGTCAGGGGTGGAATGATATGGTTTAGCTCTGTGTCCCCACCCAAATCTCATCTTGAATTGTACTCCCATAATTCCCACGCATTGTGGGAGGGATCCGGTGGGAGGTAATTTGAATTTTATGGTTGTGAATAACTCTCACAAGATCTGGTGGTTTTATCAGGGCTCTCTGGTTTTGCATCTTCCTCATTTTTCTCTTGCCGCTGCCATGTAAGAAATGCCTTTCACCTTCCACCATGATTCTGATGCCTCCCCAGCCATGTGGAATTGTAAGTCCAATTAAACCTTTTTTTCTTCCCAGTCTTGGGTATGTCTTTATCAGCAGTGTGAAAATGGACTAATAGTGTTGCTATACTATTTTTAATTGCTATTTGACCCATGTAAATAAAAGATTGAAGATTGAGAGGTTGGTAAGTGGTAGTAGATTATAAATGATCATTGACATAAAATAAGACCAATTAAGAAAAATTATAAGTATCATTTAAACCAGTTTGACATTATTCATAGTAAATATAATAATTTTCAAATATTTTGAGCATTAGCATATAAAATGTTTCATACTTCTCTAAATTAACTTCACAATCATTGTGGTAGAAGATAAAAATACAGGAGACAAATACGAAAAATAAATGATCTTACTCTTCCGGTTATGTATTACTGCACAACAAACCACTACACAACTTAGTGACCTGGAATAAGAACTACAATACTTTTTTCGTTCATATACCTGCAATTTGGGAAGAACCAGCAGGACAATTTTTTTCTGCTTTATCTGAAATCAGCTGGGGCAACATCTCTGGGCCTGTGTGTTCTTGGTAATTTGTCAGATTTTTTTAAGATAATGTCCTTTTTTTCCACAGTAATTTTCCTAAATCTAAAATGTGATTACTTGATGACTCTTATAACAGCCACTTTTGAAAAACAGTTTGTGAAAGTTGACAATATGACCCAGAAATCCCACTCTTAGGCAATTACTCCAGATAAATGAATGTTTGTTTTCATATAAATACTTATATTTCTATAGGAATCTTTATTTATAATCATCATAACCTTGAAACAAACCAAATATTTTTTCAATTAGTGAGTGGTTTATCTATATTAGTCTTCGGTTTATCTATATTAGTCTTTGGTTTATCTATACTATTGATATACAGAGCAACATGAATGCTCTGTTCTCAAATACATTATGATAAAGAACCTGTATATATAACACATCATTATGTCATTTATGTGATATTTTGGAAAAGGCAAAACTATAGAGCTGCCTAACGGAAAAGTAGATGACAGGGGATAAGAGTGTGTAGATGGCTTGATTTCAAAAGGCAGTTTGTGGGCATATTTTTTTAAAAGTGTATCAGTTCTATACCTTCATTGTGTTTGAGGTTACATGAATTTGGGCCCTTATCAGAACAAATCTGCATACAAAAAGAGTGACTTTTACTGTATCTAAATGTATACATTTTCTATTGAGGTAAATTCACATTACAAAAAATTCACCATTTTAGCCATTTTAATGTATACAATTCAGTAGCACTTAGTACACTCACAATGTTGTTCAGCTATCACCATTAACTAGTTCCAGAACATTTTCATTAACCTAGAAGGGAACCTTATATAAACGTTAAGTAATCACTTATCAACCTCCACTTCGCCCTAGTTACTGACAACCACAAATCTGCTTTCTGTCTTTGTTTATTCTTTATATTAGATATAATATAATATATACAATATCTTGCCTTTGGTGTCTAGCTCTTTTAACGTAGCATAATGTTTTCATATTTTATCCATGTTGTAGCATGTATCATAATTCTATTATTTTTTATGACTCAATAATACTCCATTATATGGCTGTACTATATATACATTTTTAAAATTTGATGGTAATTTGGATATTTTTCACCTCTTGACTATGGTAATAGTGCTGCTATAAACATGCATATACAATTTTTGTTTGAGCACCTGTTTTCAATTATTTTAAGTACATAGGAGAAGAATTGCTGGGCCATATGATATTTCTTTTTTAAAATTTATTGAGGTTCTTTAATATTCTTTTCCATAATGGTTACACTAACTTACATCCCCACCAACAGTGCATGAGAGTTCCAATCAGGATTTCTCCATATCTTTTTATTTATTTTTTCATTCTTTCTTCTTCTTTAAAAAGTAATACTGTATAGCCACTTGAGAGTATAAAAAGATGATTTTGATTTACATTACCCAATCAGTAATGATGTTGAACATTTTTATGTACTTATTATGTATTTCAATATCCTTCTTAGAGAAATGTCTATTCAAGTCATTTGCCCATTTTTTTAATGGATTGTCATTTTAATTTTGAGTTGTAAATTTTTTTCATATAACCTAGGTATTAGAAACTTATAATAAATATAATTTATAGACATTTTCTCCCATTATATGGGCTTCCTTTTGTGATAATATCATGTCATGGATAAAAGTTTTAAATTATGATAAAATTATATTCATGTATTTTTTACTTTTGTTGTTTGTGTTTTTAGCGTTGTGTGTAAGAAACTTTGTCAAATTCATGGTCATAAAGATTTATTCTATGTTTTCTTATAAAAACTTTATAGTTTTAACTATAGGTTTTTGATTCATTTAGAGTTAGTTTTTTAATATGGTGTGAGGTAGGCCTCCATCATCATTCTTCTCCATGTGGATATCATGTGTCCCAGCACTATTTGTTGAAGAGACTATTCTTTATCCATTGAGTAGTACAATGGATTAAATGTTTGTGTCCCTCCAAATTCATATGTTTACATTTTAAACTCCAATGTGATGACGTTCCAAGGTGGGACATTAGGAGGTTATCAAGTCATGAAGGTAGAACCTTCATGAATGAGATTAGTATTCTTATAGAAGGGATTCCATAAAGCTCTCTTTACCTGTTTCTTCCAAGTAAATGTCCAAGGAGAAGTTGAATGTCTGCAACACAGAAGAAGGCCCTTACCAGAATCCAGCCACACTGGCACCTTGATCTGAGACTTTAAAACTCCAGAACTGTTTTTGATAAACCACCCAATCTAAATTTTCTCATGTAATAATGCATAGAGATGATAGAATTGGGCATTACCATCTTGTTTGAAATTTTAAGAAGAAAGCTTTAACACTTTCAACCTTGGGTATGATGTTTGCTTCTGGTTTTTCATAGAGTCAACTTATTTATAATGAGGAGGTTTTCTTATATTCCTAGTTTATTTTTTTAAATAATGAATTTTGTCGAATTTTGCCAAGTATTTTCTCTGCATCAGTTGAGATGATCATGATTGGTTTTGTTTTGTGTTCCTTTTATTCTGTTAATGTGGTGTGTAACATCGATTGATTTTTATATGTTAAGCTATTCTCACATTCCTGAGAAAAATCCCATTTGATCATCCCTTTAATATGTTGTAATTGAATATTTTATAATCCCTTTAATATGTTGTTGGATTCTGTTTTCTAGTATATTGAAGATGATTTTTGCATCTATAGTCATAAGGGATATTGTCTTGTAATTTCCATTTCTTTTCTTCTGATGCCTTTGTCTGGCTTTGGTAGCAGAGTGAGTCATGCCTTACAAAATAAATTAGTATTCCTCATTTATTTTTTGGAAAAGTTTGAGGATTGCTTTTAATTATTTTTAAAATGTTTAGCTGCATTCACCAGTGAAGCCATCTGGTCATGAGCTTTTATTACTTTAGAGCTCTTTGATTACTGATTCGATATATTTACTTTTTGTAATTCTGTTCAGATTTTCTCTGTTGAGTAAGCTAAAGTAATTTGTGTTCCTAGAATTTTGTTTCCATTTTATTTAGGCCAACTAATTTATTGGAGTAACATTTTACATTGTATTCACCTAAAATCCCTTTTATTTCTTTAAATATTTTTAAATTGTAAGATGGTACCAATGGAATGCCAGTCAGAAATTCATGCACCCAAACCTGAAGAGGCACAGACATATTCAAATAAAGTAAGCCTAACACCAATTTGTGTCATTGAGACTCAGAATATTTACATGCCCTCAAAATATGTCTATATCACCCCAAATCACTGAATAATTATAAACTCCACTTTAAAGATTCATATATACCATAATAGTATGTTAGCAAATATGTTAAAGTACTATATTTAAGAAGGACTCATTCAAAACAAACAAAAGAAATAGACAAACAAAAAAACCAGGGCAATCATATGTGTGGAATATTCAGAAAAGAATTAATACAGATAGCACATACATGACAGAAGAAAATGTTCACTTGGGCCCTAAAAAATGCCATTTTGTATCTACCAGGTTGGATTTGTTTTAAATAATCAGGTTTCAGTATCAGAATAGTCTAGAGTGAGGGAAAACATATATGACTATTTTGTTGTTGTTGAAATGTAGCTTGGGACAAACTTCTGGAATGCGATTTGACATAATTATTAAACTTTTGAACTTTATCAAAATTTTCTACAGACTCTATTGACTTTACATTACCTTGCAAATGTGTCATAGTAATTCTCAAAGATATATTTACAAATAGCAAACTTAAATATAAACACGTAAAATGTGATTTTTTTGCCTCGTTTCCCTTAATTCTTTAAGATAAAGACAAAATAAAATTATAAATTTTAAAGTCACTGATATTATACATTTTATCATTCACGTAAAGCTATTTTATAAGCTATAGTAATGATTTTTCTTTTGTAAATTCCAGTTCTTGTCCTTTGTCTATTTTATCTGGAAATATTTCCACTTTATCATGAATTCATTATAGTTCATTATGTAATAAAATATTAATGGTGTTTCAGATCATAAATAATTCCTTTAAATAAGATTTCTAGTTTATAATTGGTTTTTTAATGTTATAGTTCCACATCTTCATAACATTATATTGTTTGTAGATTGTGTGTGTGCACATGTAGCGTGTGTGAATGGTCGGTGATACAGAATTCATGTAATTTGTAAAGGAATAATGCTCTATATCCACTGCAGCCTAGGGACATGGTGAATATATACAGATATACATCTCATATCTTGCATAGATGATTTCTACAAAGGTTTTATTGGACTAGTTTTCCAAAAGTGCAATTCTTTTAGTATTATAAGCTATTGTTTGACTTTTTCACTATCTTACATTCTTTCATTTATTAGATTTCCTATTTATTTCTTATATTTAATTCTTTTCATTGCTTTCTTATGTTGTCTTTCCTCTTTAATTTGACTGACTTAAAATGCTCATATATATGATTTTACCATATTCACTGAAAGATTTTAATTTCACTCACAATACCATGTGTGATTGAAAGAATTCCTGAATAGAAACTGAATAATCAGGGCCAGAATTTGAATTATTTCATTGATTGTGTCACGTTAGATGACTATTCAAATTATCAAATTCTCAGTTTACTGACTATAAATTAAGAAGATACTTAAGCTCTGGGATCACTATTAACAAAATAAACTTTTAAAAAGTAATTTTGAGACAGCCAGATATTGAAATTTTTTAAGATAATATAGAATTGTTTTTTACAGCAACAAAAAGTTTCCAGAATAATAACTTGTTTAATTTTGACTTCTCTCTAGTACAATCACACAGTAATTTTCCTTTTCCATTATGGGAAAAATGATCATACATTTTTAGATTTAAAATATATAATATGGTCATTTAAAAATATATTTACACCATGTTGAAAATGCCAATCAGTCAAAATATTCACTAGCTGCAAATTTACATTCAAAGACAGCCGGTTATTCCCTGTTTACATACTGTGCACTGCAGCTGCGGGGCAATTTCCCTATGTGTAATGAAGTTAGAGAGTGTGGCTATAATTGTATGCCAGAGAAATACAATCACTTGCTATTAACAAGTTTCATTTCTATAAAAGGAATTATTGAATATTTTAGTGCATGTATACATTCCCATAGAAGTCAACTTTTTCAGAACTTTGTAGTAACCATATCATCTACCAGATCCAATCTAGTTCTTTTTCTACACATGCTCTTAAGGTGATAACACTGATAATGAGAATAAAAATTTGCTTATGCTTTAATATTAATTCAGCCTACTCAACTTTTATAAATCAATACGTTTAATTTACTGATTTGTGTTATTCAGTTGTATTACAACCTGCAAAAGAGAGGAAGAAATGTTCATATTTTAGATGAGAGAATTAGAGAAACTAGATTTTACTTTTCGGAAGGTGTCAGCACTTTTTTCCTTGAGTTAATGCTCATCTTTCCTTCAACATATAGTCAATTTAAAATAGAAATTAATAATTCTTAAATGTGTCAAACTTTGGACATAATATGGTATAAACCTGTATCAATGATGTGCTTTCTGTTTGTACATGGGTCTAACTACACATATGAGAGTGGGTTTTAGAGTAAAAGCAGAAGACAGAAATATTCCGAAGAGCTTTTAGTTAGCAGTTTGACACATGAATAGCTAAGGAAGTTAACTTCATAATAACAACTTCTATTTTTGCAACCAATAGAATTATAACTGATGAATAAAAAAAAGATGACCAGTTAAAGTTCTTTAAATTTTTATTTTAATACTAGCTTTTCTTCTAGACACTCAAAAACCATGATTTAGGACTACCATATGATCCAGCAATTCTACTGCTCTACATATATCCATAAGAAAGGAAATCAGTATATCAAAGAGATGGCTGGACGTGGTGGCTCACACCTGTAATCCCAGCACTTTGGGAGGCTGAGGCAGGCAAATCACGAGGTCAGGAGTTGGAGACCAGTCTGGCCAATGTGGTGAAACCCCGTCTCTACTAAAACTACAAAAATTAGCTGGACATGGTGGCATGCGTCTGTCATCCCAGCTATGTGGGAGGCTGAGGTAGAAGAACTGCTTGAACCCGGGAGGGAGAGGTTGCAGTGAGCCAAGATCAGCCTGAGTGACAGAGCAAGGCTCCGTCTCAAAAAAAAAAAAAAAGATAGCAAAGAGATATCCGCACTCCCATGTTTATTACAACACTATTCACAATAGCCAAGATATGGAATCAACCTGAGTGTTCATCAGGGATAAAACAATGTGGTACATATACACAATGGAATATTATTCAGCCACAAAATGAATGAAATACTATCATTTGCAACAACGTGGATGAAACTAAAGACACTATGTTAAGTGAAATAGGCCTGGCACAGAGGAGATGGTTGGTGGGTGCAAAAATTAAGTTAGAAAATTCAGTTAGAGAAAATAATATCTAGTGTTCAGTAGCACAATACAGTAACTATATTAACAATAATTTATTGTGTATTTCTAAATGATTCCAAGAGTGGAATTAGAATATTCCTAACACATATAAATGATGAATGCTTGATGTTATGGATATCACAATTACCCTGGTTTGATCATTACGCATTGTATGTTTGTATCAAAACATCACATGTATCTCAAAAATATGTACAACTATTATGTATCTGTAATAAATAAAATAAATTTAAAAGTTTTAATTACAAACAGTAGTTATAAACAAATATTTAAATCAACAATTTTATTCTAAGTGCATCTGAAAGAGAATTTTCAGGGCCAGAAGCACCATTTAATAAGAAACATAATTTCTGATACACTGAATACCAAGTTATAGGGCGTATGAGAAGGTACTCTTCATTTCATAACTACAAGAGTCGCTTTTGTCTTTAGCTTGTGAATGACTAAACGTTCCTGTGTCTACTTTCAGCACTTTTCCTCCAGTTTCTCAGTGTATTAAGTCATGTCCCTGACAAGTAACAAATTCGCTGTTACAGTACTCTGACAAAAAATATTAATTTTTATTAACTAACTAGTAACTAGTGAAAAAACTATGATCATATGTTAAATGTGGAAAATGCATATCTATACTACTTATTTTCTTAAGCTTTGGAGTTAACACAAAGCCATAACACAGTGCAATAATGAATAGAAGGCTTTCAGAAGATGTGTGTGAAGAAAGTAATTGATTGAGACTCAATTTTCACAACTCTCAGATAAGTTTCTTTAGAAATTTACATTTCCTGTATATCTTGCAGAAAAAAATGTTTGCCTTCCTGAAAATCCTGAAGGTTAAATTGTCTTAGCTCCTTTCAAGTATAAAAAGATTCTTCTCTTTGAATATTCATTTTAAAGACTTGTTCTACGGATATGAGGTAGAAGGTAGGACTCGACTCTGGAGGCAGGGCTCAGACGCCGGACCAGATTGAGGACTGCTAAAACAGTGTCAGGGCAGAAGCAGCTTTCTGTAAGATATGCCCACCAGTGCTTTTTACCATCGCCATGGTAATGGCACGTTAGTTTACCATTGACGCAGCAACACCTGGGAGTTCCATGGCAAGGACCCCACAACCCAGAAGTTACTGCCGTTTTCCTAGACAATTCTGCATAAGCCAGCCCTTAATCTGCATGTAATTAAAAGTAGGTATAAAAATGACTGCAGAAAGGCCGAGCATGGTGGCTCACACCTGTAATCCCAGAAGTTTGGGAGGTTGAGGTGGATGGATCACCTGAGATCAGGAGTTCTAGACCAGCCTGGCCAACATGGTGAAACCCGGTCTCTACTAAAAATACAAAAATTAGTCGGGCGGGATGGCAGGCACCCATAATCCCAGCTACTCGGGGGGCTGAGGCAGGAGAATCACTTGAACCCGGGAAGCAGAGGTTGCAGTGAGCCGAGATCGCGCCATCACACTCCAGCCTGGAGAACAAAAGCGAGACTTAGTCTCAAAAAAAAATAGAAATAAAAAATAAAAAAAAATAATGACTGCAGAACTTCCCTGAGCTGCTACTCTCAGCACACTGCCTGTGGGGTAGCCTTGTTCTGCAGGAGCAGTCATGGAGCTCTGATGCTGCCTGAGCTGTAACATCCCCAGAGCTGGAACACTGTCACTTCAATAAAGCTGTTTTCTTCTATCACCAGCTTACCCCCCTTGAATTCTTTCCTGGATGAAGCAAAGAACCCTCTCAGACTGAGCCCCAATTTGGGGTTTTCCTGCCCTGCAACAAAAACACACATAAGAGAAAATTTCACTTAGCCTTTTCTAGTCTAATACACTTTAAAAGTATATTTCATCCAATTGTATTAATTTTTGCATATTTTGTACATCATGATTTTGGCAAAGTTAGGGAAAGAAGTTTGCATGCATTTTGAATAATTTGATAGTTTTAGTACATCTTTAAGCAACTACTGTTGAAATTGCAGGTATTTAAAAGGACAAAACCAATTAAATTATTTTAACTATTTAAGAAATTTAAATAATGATATCGCTGAATTCACACATTTTATAAGCACATGAACTAAATGAATAATACATATAATCATTTTCTGTAATTATTTTAGTATGTAGTATATAAAAATGGGAGTCACTTTTGTATCTAAGGGTATCTTATTTCCTCCGAACTTGAGGGGTGTTTTTAAATGTCAAGAATTTAAGAGACTGAGCCCCTTCATAAGCATACAATTGAAGTCAGGCATAGCAAAAGCACAGCAGGACAAAAACAATTAGTTCTATATAATCATCTCCATCTGCTACATGTAAATCACCAGCTTCCTGATCATACACCTATTGAAAACTAAATGAGGTGCAGAATGTGGCCAGTAACTGATCCTGAGGGATGAATTTGAGGGGGGGCGTAAATGAAAACAGCTGGAGACCATTCACATTAACTCTGTTATCTATCCAATGTTTCTGCTTGAGTGATTACAAAACAAACTACTAAACTATTTCACATCTATTCATTAACTAATCTAATAGCAAGTCATGTTTCTAGCAGAATATCCTATTGGTGGAGTTTTTAAAATAGTTTATTAGGGAAAGATGCTTTCCCTAATTATTTTGAGGGTTTTTTTCTCAGAAGACCTCTATGTTTTCCTCTTAAAGAATTGGAATGTTATTATAGGCAGCATTTCATTTCTGAATATATTATTTAAACAATTTCCATAAACTTTCAATAGCTTCTTTTTGTAATTTCTTTCTGTTCAAATTGTCTAATAATATGCTATAAGGGAGCTGGCTGATGGCAAGATATGGCATAATAATTGTAAATGAAAAATAAAAACCCACTGACTGAATGGACCGCCTTGTGGTCAAGGAGACCCCAGAAAAAGCTTAAAACTGGGTTCTTAGCCATGATGGGATAAGAGGTCAGACATGTCTAAACTGATCAGCGATAATATTAAAATAGAGATCATAAGACGGACAGAATAGAGTCTTTGTAGCAATGAGATATCAAATTATAAACAGGACCTAAGGCCATGCCAGGCAAGGGTTAAGGCAGGCGCCCCTACACTTAAAGAATAAACTATGTTCTAACCGTCAAAAAGTTTTTATTTCCCTCTAGCAGCTAAACAAGCACTGTCCTCAAGATCAGCAATATTAAAACATTCACAACTCATTCAGCTCATAGACACTGGCTAACTGAACCCCTGTTCCACTAGCCATAACTACAGCTTTGACTAGACAAGCAACTGATTTCAGTAACTTTCTCCTGAAAAGAACACCACCAACCACGGACTGGTCCTGGCTGGTTCCCAGAGGCTGTGCACTTGTGTAACTTCGTGTCCTACATTTTACCTTTGGCATATAGGGTCTAATTGTAATACATTTAATACATTTAAATGTTAAGTCTCCACTCCAAAGTGAACATGGTTTATATGTTAGATGTATGTTTAATATGCATGAATCAGGACCGCCTTCCTGAATATTCATAGCTCCTGCTCTAGCCCATTAAATATGTATGTTTAGCCAACCTGTTCCACATAATACTCTGCCCCAACCCCTGCTCCTTCGAAGTGACTGTCTCTGGTCTCAGCCTGTGGGATGGCCACCTTGCAGGTTATAAAACTTTGTAAAAAATAAAGTCTTCTCTCTTTTCCAAATTTGTAGATATTTGTGGGGTGTTTTTTCAAGTTAACACTATGTTTCGATATTGTCAAGGCATTTTTAATCTCTAAATTTTCTTTTATAACTTTTGAAAAACAAATTAACCACTACCTCTTTGCTAACGTTTTAAGAAAAGATACATGTTTGATAGATTAGGAAAATTAATATTTGAGAAGATGTACAGTCATCAGATTGAGTTTTAGATATTAATTAGCAAAAGTCATGATTTTTTTCTTTAGTCCAACCCCAGCTTACATTTCAGTAGTGTTGTCATTGTTTGATCTCTTTTTTTTTCTTTTTTCCTGAGGTAACAGTGTCCTTAATGCATATTCATTTCCTTTTTGGTAAGTTACAGTCTCATTTTTTGGCATTTACAAATAATGATAGACTAAGTCACATAAATTTTACAGGGAGGAAAACCTTTAATGTGTTCCCTATCATCTAGTGAAGAGGACTACTCCAGAATATCACTCACAAAAAATTTTACCTTTGTTAAGTCTATATTTAGTGTTAAAACATTGAAGCCATATTATTTTTTTCAAGTTGTAATCATTATTTATTTTCACTTGTGCATTTTATTTTCATTGTAAAGATAGAGATTTCTTAAATATTTCAATGTTTTGTAGGCCATTTAATAATACATATGGACTCTTTAAAATCCTCCTAAAAGACACATTTTTAAAAGTGATATTGTATACAGCAGGTATAAATTTATTTTTGGATGGGAGAGTGACTTTTCTGGGAACCTAGAAATAGTATTCGCATTGTGGCTTAACGAATAAGCCTTCAGTCAAAGCTTAAACCACTTAATCCAAATAGATTAGATTTATCTGATATTAAATAAGTGGTTTTATCTATTTGTCAAATATAGTCCAGTTAATCAATGTAAATATGGCTTTTCTAATTATTACAACACATATCTGTCTTCACAAGTGTTAGTAGTAGTTTTGATTAAAATTTGCTTTATTACACTGATTTTGATAATTGATAGTTTCAGATAAGTAGTAGCAGATTCTTATGTTAGCCTAGAATTTTCTGAACAGTTGTATTAATATTAAATTAGGTTATAGTTTGAAATAATACAGATAATAATCAGGTCCTTCAAAGATCTAAGGGGAAGTTTTATGATTGTAACTTAACATATCATAGGGAAAGATACTATTTATAATGATTACCCAATATGTGTGTGGCTCAAAATATTGAGTTTTTCACACTGGGCAAATTTAAAAGTCATTGTTGACTTAATCATTAGATGCAGCTTTCAAACTTCAATGCTACTTTCAGATTTGTATTTTCAAATTCTATCCTTTAATAGCAAACAAAAAGGAATAAAAATAGACACTGTTATTGCCCTGAATACCAAATGGCTTCTGGTCCTAAGACTAATATACCATTAATATCAATTAAATATCTTTTAACCTTCTTATATTTATTATATGGCCTATGTTCTAAAAAGTTTATGATAGTAACATGTCATACAGTATTTGAGTAAAACTGGTTTTTATGCTCATAATCAGTAAAACTTAAAGGAAACATTTGAGGAAATATAAAATGTTTGAACTAGTGTACGACTATATTATTTTATACTGCTAAGAAAATAGCCTGTGGTATTAAATTTGAAATATAAAGATAATTTTACCAAATCTAAGAAGTAAATGATAAACTATCAAGGCAATGCAGAATATTGTCTAAAACCAAGAGCTTCTCTACATTCCTAAAGTTATTTACTTAGACTCGATTTCCTTTCTATTCCTTACAACTTACCTAATCATATTTGAAGATGCTTACATTTTGTTAACTAAAATAGTAATAGAAACTCTGCATGACAATATTATCATTTTATTTATTAGTCCTACTTTCACTTTAGTAACAAATGTACTAATAAAAAGATTTGCCTTCTGAGAACATGAATTTCTTCTATGAAAAGTTGTATAACTCTTAAGATGGAAGGTGTTATGAATTAAATTATGTACCTTCAAAATTCATATGTTGAGCCCCTAATCTCAAGTGTCACTGTATCTGAAGATAAGGCCTTCAAAATGATAATTAAGGCTAACTGATGTAATAAGAGCAGGGCACAACTAACAGGACCAACATCCTTACAAGAGGAAGAGACACACATCAGAGATTTCTGTCTTCACATGTTTAAAGAGCAGAGAGCACTGTGAGAACAAAGCAAGAAGGTTGCCATCTAGAAGCCAGAAAGATGTGTATGACCAGAAACAAACCCTGGCAGCACCCTAATTTGTACTTCCATCTCCAGAGCTCAGAAAAAATAAATTGATGTTATTTAAACCACCCAGTCTGTGGTACTTTGTTATGGCAGCCTGAGCTGACTAATTCAGAGTGTCTATGAATGAGAAGGAGTTTATAAATTTCTAGGCAAATGCTTGATATATAAGATCAATGAATATCTACTGCAGGAGTGGTCCTGGAAGTTAATACATCAGAATATACTGTGTGATGAAATATACAAAGTTTATTGTATGTCTTTTTACTAAAGCTTTGCAAATGTATTTTAATAAAGAAAATGAGGTGCAGGAAGTCCTAGTAAGAACAATCAGAAAACAAAACAAAAACAAAAAATAAAAAGCATCCAAATTGAAAAGGAAAAAGTAAAATTATCAGTTTGTAAATAACATTATCCCATATGTAGAAAACCACCCACACACAAAAACGCTGCTAGACCTAATAAGTAAATCAAACAAAGTAGTGGTGTGTTAGTCCATTCTCACACTGCTATAAAGAATTGCTTAAGACGGGTAATATAAAGGAAAGAGGTTTAATTGACTCACAGTTGCCCATGGTTGGGGAGGCCTCAGGAAACTTGCAATCATGTCCAGAAGGTGAAGGGGAAGTAAGGATCTTCTTCACAAACAAACAATAGAAAAAGGAGAGAAAACCACCACTTATAAAACCATCATATCTTGTAGGAACTCACTGACTATCACAAGAGCAGCACAGGAGAAAGAAAACAGCCCCCATGATCCAATCACCTCCCACAGGTCCCTCCCTCGACATGGAGGGATACAGTTCAGATGAGATTTGTGGGGAACATAAAATCAAGCCATATCATTACACCCCTGGCCCCTCCCAAATCTCATGTTCTCACGTATCAACCATACAACAGTCACAAAATTATGCCTTCCTAACAGTCCAACAAAGTCTTAACTCATTTCAGCATTAACTCATTTCATCAAAAGTCCAAGTCCAAAGTCTCATCAGAGACAAAGTAAGTCCCTTCTGCCTATGAGCCTGTAACATCAAAAGCAAGTTAGGTATTTTCAAGATACAATGGGGTTATAGGCATTGGACAAATGCTCCCATTCCAAATGGAGAAAATTGCCAAAGCAAAGGGGCTACAGACCTTATCAAGTCGAAAATCCAGCGGGGCAGTCATTAAACCTTAAAGCTCCAAAATAATCTCCTTTGACTCCATGTCTCACATCCAGGATATGCTGATGGAAAAGGTGGGCGCCTAAGGCTTTGGGCAGCTCAGTCCCGTGGCTTTGCAGGGTTCAGTCACCATGGCTGCTCTCATAGGCTGGTGTTCAGTGCCTGCAACTTTTCCAGGCATATGGTGCAACTGTTGGTGGATCTACTATTCTGGGATCTGGAGGATGGTGACCCTCTTCTCACAGCTCCACTAGGCAGTGCCCAGTGGGGACTCTGTGTGAAGGCTCCAACCCCACATTTCCTTTCTGCACTGCCCTAGCAGAGGTTCTCCATGAGGGCCCTGCCCCTGCAGCAGACCTCTGTCTGGACATCCAGGTATTTCCATACATCCTGTGAAATCTAGGCAGAGGTTCACAAAGCTCAACCCCTCTTCTGCACACCCTCAGGCCCAACACCATGGCCCAACACAAGGCTTGGGGCTTTCACCCTCTGAGGCAATGGCCCAAGCTGTAACTAGGCCCCTTTTAGCCACAGCTGGATTTGTAGTGGCTGAGATGCAAAGCTTCGCAGAGCAGTGGGGCCCTGGGCCTAGTCCATGAAATAATTTATCCCTCTTAGGCCTCCAGGCCAGTGATGGGAGGGATTGCCTTGAAGATATCTGAAATGCCCTCAAGACATTTTTCCTCACTGTCTTGGTTATTAACATTCAGCTCCTCATTATTTATGCAAACTTCTGCAGGTGGCTTGAATTTATCCCCATAAAACGTTTTTTTCTTTTCTATTACATTGTCAGGGTGGAAATTTTCCAAATTTTATGCTCTGCTTCATTTTTAAACATAACTTCCAATTTCAAATCATTTATCTCAAGTTCAAAGTTCCACAGATCTCTAGGGCAGGGGAAAAGTGCCACCAGTCTCTTTGCTAAATCATAGCAAGAGTGACCTTAGCTCTAATTCCCAATGATTTTCTCATCTCTATCTGAGACCATCTCAGCCTGGACTTCATTGTCCATATCACTATCAGCATTTTGGTCAGAGCCATTCAACAAGTCTCTAGGAAGTTCCAAACTTCCCTGTATTTTCCTGTCTTCTTCTGAGCCCCCTAAACTACTCCAACCTTTGTCTGTTACCCAGTTCTAAAGTCACTTTCACATTTTTAGCTTATCATTACAACAGTATCCACTCTACCAGTACCAATTCTCTGTGTTAGTTCATTCTCACACTACTATAAAGAAATGCCTGAGACTGGGTTATTTATAAAAGAAAGAGCTTTAATTGACTTACAGTTCTGCATGACTGGGGAGGTCTCAGAAAACTTATAATCATAGTGGAAGGTGAATAGGAGCAGGAACCTTCTTCACAAGGTGACAAGAGGAGAGAGAAAACGACGACTCGTAAACTTACCAGATCTTGTAAGAACTCACTCATTCACTATCTTAAGAACAGCATAAGGGAAACTGCCCCCATGATCCAATCACCTCCCACCAAGTCCCTCCTTTGACATGCAGCAATTATAGATCAGATGAGATTAAGGTGGGGACACACAGATAAACCATATCAAGTGGTTTACAGAATCAATAAATGAAAGTCAGTTGTATTTATTCAGACCAATAACAATCTATTTTTAAAAAAGGAAATCAGGAAAATAATTTGACAATAGCATTAAAAATAATAAAATTTCAGAATAAATTTAACCAAGAGGTAAAAGATATATTCATTGAAAACTATAAAATATTGATGAAAAAAAACTGAAGACATAAATAAATAGCAAGATACACTGCCTCTGTCTGTGCTTTGGAAGAGGTAATTTTGCTAATTGTCCATGCTACCTAAAGTGATGATATAAAGCTTCAATGGAATCTCTATCAAAATTTTCACAGAAACTGAAAAGAAAAAGCAATTCTAAAATTGGTAAGGCACTGAAAAAGAGCACAAGTAACCCAAGCAATCATGGGAGATAAAAAGTCAGGCATCACACTACCTGACTTCAACATATACTATAAAGCTACAGTAACGAAATCAGCATTGTACTGACATAAAATTAGACACATAGAACAATGAGACAGAGTAAAGAACAAGGAAATAAATCCACACACTTATAGCCTATTGATTTTCAACAAAAGTGCCAAGAACACACATGGGGGAATGAATAGTCTCCAATAAATGGTGCTGCGAAAACTAAATATCCACATGCAAAAGAATAAAACTAAGCCCCTATATCTCACCATATTAAAAAATCAACTCTAAATGGATTACAGACTTAAATATAAGACCCAAAGCTATAAAACAAATAGAAGAGATCATAGGGGAAACAGTTCATGACATTTTCCTGGGCAATGACTTTTTTGATAAGAACTCAAAAGCACAGGCAATAAAAGCAAAAAAACAGAGAAAATAAGATTATTTCAAATTAAAAAGCTTCTGTACAACAAAAGAAATAATGAACAGGGTAAAGTATTTTATTTCTTTGGAACAAAATAAAATATTTGCAAACTATACATCTAATAACAAGACATTCATAATATCCAGAACATATAAGGAATTCAAACAACTCAATAGAAAAACAAATAATTCAATTATAAATGGGCAAATGACCCAAATAGACATTTTTCAAAAGAACACATAGAAATGACTAATAGTTTACATGAAAAAATGCTAAAAATCGCTAATTACAAGGCAAATGCACATTAAACTCATGATGAATATCACCTCATCCCAATTTGAATGGCTGTTATAGAAAAGACAAAAAATAACAAATGTTGGCATGGTTGTGGAGAAATGGAAAATCTTGTACACTGTTGGTGGGAACGTCAATTAGTGCAGCCATTTTGTAAACCATCTGGAGGTTTCTCAAGACATTAAAAATTGAACTACTAGATGATTTAGCCATCTCACTATTGGATATTTATAGAAAGGTAAGAAAATTAGTGTGTCAAAGGGATATCTGCATTATGTTTATTGCAGAACTATTCACAGTAGACAAGATATGGAATCAACTTACATGTCTATAGATGGATGGGGGAATAAAAACATTGTGGTATACACATGGACATGATGAAATATTACTCGGCCATTAAAGAGAAACAAATCCTGCCATTTGGGACAATGTGGATGAACCAAGAAGACATTAAGTAGCATAATGAAGTTACAGAAATAAAAATACTGCATGACCTCTCTTATATGTGGAATCTAAAAATCATGAATACATAGAAATGGAAAGTGGAATGGTGGTTACTAGGGGCAGAGAGAAGGAAGATACAGATCAAAGGGCACAAACTTTTACTTATTTAAAATAAATAGGTCTAGCAATCTAACGTATAGAATTAGGACTATATTTAATAATATCACATTATATAATGGAAATATGCTAAGAGATTAGATTTTAGGTGCCCTACCACACACACACACACACACACACACACACACACACACACACACACACGGGGTAACTACGTGGCAACAAGAATTTTAACATGCCTGACTGTAATAATTATTTTACTATTTAGGTGTACATGAAAACATTGTATTGTACACCCTCAATGGATAATAAAAATAAAAATAAATAAACAGGCACATGAAAGAATAAAGGGAGGAAGAGTGAGGCAGTAGAGTGAAGGTCAGAGAATGAGATAAATAGACAATAGCTGCATCAGAGAGACGCTACACTGCTAACTTTGAAAAGGGAGGAATGAGGCATGAAGCCAGTGAATGCAAACTGCCTCCAGAACCTGGAAAATACAATAAATTAGAGTCTCCTCTGGAGCCATCAGAAAGGAATGCAGGCCTGCTGGCAACCTTGATTTTACCTCAAGAGACCAGTGTTGGATTTCTGACCTACAAAACCATAGGTAGTAAATTTGTGTTTCTGAACCATTAAAGGAAAAAAGAAAGATAAGAAAGATAAAGAGTAATGCAAAATGTTATACAAAACTGAACAGGAGTGATGGTATATTTTTAAAACAAATAGTTCAAAAATGTAGCACCAGTAGAAAAGTCATGTAAAAACAACTGCAATAGAAACTTTTGAGGAAATAGGAGCAATTGTGTGTTATTTTGAATTGTTTATGTAAGTTTGATGGAAATATTTTCTTTCCTTCATATTATTTATCATTAGAGATAGAAAAATAAAGTAATTATTTTTTTGCTTAACAAATATAACAAATATCTTTCTCATATTTAAGTGGAAACCATTAAAATAGACTTTCAGATTAAACTTGCATTTGTAATATATCAACCTCAAGTCAATGTTAAAAATGATTTTATTATCCTAAGAAAAAAATCAGATCACCAGGGACGTCATGTAGGAATTGTTTCATTATGAGATGTGGGCCAAAAATTGAAATTTGTAATGAATTGGATTTTTTTCTAAGACAATATGAAATAAACATAATATGAAGATAGTACTGTGATAGAAAATAGTATAGTTTAGAGGGTCCAGAAAATAACTATCTAGAAAAAATTCTGCCATTAAAAACACAAATAAGTACTTTAAAACATGGGAGTCTATTTTTTCCTCTTATATTCATAGGGCTAGAACTGAACAAGGACTATTATTTTAAATCCTTTTTAGTATTCTAAAGTTATACCATTATAATATTTTACAAATAATCAATTAAAGCTATTTAATCTATTTATGCAGATTTTCTCCTCCAAATTAGACTTGTTAAATTACATAAATTTGGGCCAACTTTAAATTTAGAAATTTAATTCTCAAAGTAAATCCTGAGAAAAAATACTTTAGTTATATGAGATATTGAAGTACACACAATATTTTTCTCTTTTGAGCACTATGTATAGAATGTATGAGGATCTTTTCTTTCACTTCATCTTGTCCTTTTTGGAATTCTACTTATTTATTTTATTCTAATTTTTTTAACAATTATAAGATCAAGTTTATTTTGAATATACAATTGATTAATCCCATATGCTGTTAATGAACACTTATGCTGTTTTCAGTTTCCAGCTATATAAAATAAATAATGTACTATGAACATTCTTGCACATGTCTTTGGTGCTAACAAACATTTATTTCTGTGGAATTCTATTTAGAGCCAGTGTGATCTTTCTGTTCAGATCAGCCCTGCAGGGCTGTTGAACAAAATGAATAATGAGCCCAGTGGGACCTGACTAGGTATGTCTCAGTTTGTCATGCGGAAATTAACTGAAAAATAAGAAATTTGCAATAAAATTCTATGACTTTTGGTGTCGGTCTCCATTGGTAAGAATTGGCAAGCATAAAATACCTAATCCACTATACAGGATATGAACTGAAGTTTTTTGGTTTATAGCTTTCTTTAAAAGACTTTTTATATGATTTTACACATTGTGAAACACTATGTAAGTAAACAAAAGGTGAATATATTCTTTCACCATAGTATGACAATGCCAAGACTATTTCTATAACTATAGTTTGCCGAAAATCCATAGTCTATGCATTCACTATTGCAAGCATCTGGATGAAAATTGAAAATGTGAACCATCACCCATACTATGCCTGTATCCTATATTCCAGATGCTGATCTGTCACATATAAACAGATTAAAAACTGTGCATATTTGATGAAAACTTCATTTGTAACCAACTGATTTAGAGTTGTTCAAATTTTAATACTTTTGTAGACATAAATGTTATCATTTTACCATCTTTGATTCAATATTAAGTTTTTTGTATCATATAAGTTGATATTTTTCAGTGACAATGTTATCAACTCATAGAATACTGATTAAATGTGTAGGCATATAGAATTATAGAAGGAAACAAAAAATTCAACACTGATCAGAAAATATTTTAACACGAACAGAGAGGAAGATGTCTGCTCATTCATAAGCAAATTACTTTCAACTAGTTTTCAACACATATACATAGATAGATATGTTTTCTTATTAGCATGTTTTTATTTTTGAAATACTATGTGACTTTTAAAAGTAAAAAGAATTAAGAGAATAACATACTGTTAATAGGATAGAAAACTATTAATTTTTCAGTGTACATTACACTTAAATAACAATCATTACAAGGTAAAAAAATAATAATAATAACAAACCCAGAAATGTATTGTAAAGATAAGTCCCACTAGGGTATTTGACATTTAAAAATTTTCATGAGTATTCATTGTTTTAAAAGAAGTCTACCTTAGTAAATTGTGTATATGTGTGCTTTAGCAAATCTGGTAGAATTATAAAATAACATATCAATTTTATTTTTAGATAATTGCTTCCAAACATTTATTCATATAACAGGAAATATTTGTTGTGACCTGCATTTTTAGAGTATCTGCTAAACGTATGCATTTTTTCTTTTAACATACATGGAGCTTATTTTTGAAGATAGAATCATGTTATAAATTGTTTTCTGAACTACATTATTCTTCTCCTTCCTTTTTGTTTTAACCTTGTCTATTTATTTATGTAATAACTATAGCTCTACTTTTAGTTATTTCAATATTTACATGTACATTTTACATATTTTATAGTTTTATTATGGAAACATTTTCTGATAAAGTGCATTATTTCTATATAAATCTGAAAACAGATTATTTCAGGCAACAAAGGTAGAGAATACAAGTATGTAGAAAACTGCTCACGAAAGTAAGATCAAGGCAAGATCATACTTTTAGAAATAAATTATAAATTATAAGTATATGTTAAGTTCTGACCAATACCAGAGAAGATCTTAAAGAAAACATTCAGAGCCCTAAACAATGAAGTTATACTACTCCACTGATGTCCAATGTGTAGTTGAAAATAACACAAAATATTAAAATAGGTATAGGAAATACAAGAAGAACAAAAGGTGTGACTTATGATGATGAATAATCCATTGGTTTATATTTAATTATTGGTGATCTATGCATGTGCCTAATTAGATTACTGATTAGTTTGAACTTTGTTTGAATACCATGTGGAAAAAAATATTTAGCAAATGTATTATAGAATCATATTTATCAGGTATAATTGTTTTCCTTTAGTTACACTGAAATCTTCTCTTTGCCTCCCCTGGAAATTGTGATGTTCTTTTTCAATAACCAGTAGCCACAACGAGTTAGCTAGAGCTCCATGTTCCTTAATGTCATGTAATTTTACTTTATAAATATTAATTTGGACAATCTTCACTGCAGTAAAATGAGTGCTTAGCCTAACAGTATCTACAGAATGTTTAAATGGTCATTTGTAAAACACTTTCTTGCTTAACAAGCACATTTATACTTTCATTACCTACGGATAAGTATGATGTCATAGAGAAAATATTGGTCATTATAAATATCAAAAGACTGAGGAAAAGAGAGTGTTCCTGTATTATCAGAGTAAGGATTTCCATGAGTAAAAGCTTCCTGAGGCCTCCCTAGAAGCAGATGCTCCCATGCTTCCAGTACAGCATGCAGAACTGTGAGCCAATTAAACCTCATTACTTTATAATTTACCCAATCTCAGATATTTCTTTATAGCAGTGTGAGAAATGAACTAACACACAAAATTGGTACCAGGAGTGGGGTATTGCCGTAAAGATAACTGAAAATGCGGAAGCAGCTGTGGAACTGGGTAAAAGGCAGACATTGGAACAGTTTAGGGAGCTCAGAAGAAGACGGGATGTTGAGGGAAGATGTTGAACTTCCTAGAGACTTGTTGAATGGTTTTGACCAAAATGCTGATAGTCATATGGACAGTGAAGTTCAGGCTAAGGTGGTCTCAGATGGAGCTGAGGAACTTATTGAGAACTAGAGTAAAGGTCACTTTTGTTATGCTTTAGGAAAGAGCCTGGCTGTATTATGCCTGTGCTCTAGGGACCTGTGGAAGTTTGAACTTGAGAGTGGATTTAGGCTATTGGGTAGAACAAATTTCTAAGCAGTGAAGTGTTCAAGATGTGGTCTGACTGCTTCTAACAGCCTACACTCATATGTGTGAACAATGAAATGGCATAAAACTGGAACTTATATTTAAAGGAGAAGCAGAGTGTAAAAGTATGGAATTTGAAGTATGGCCATGTGGTAGAAAACAAAAGCCTATTTTCTGGGGAGGATTTCAAGCAAATGGAAGAAATTTGCATAAGTAAAAAGAAGCCAAGTGCTGATAGCCAAGACAATGAGAAAACCCTCTAAGGCATTTCAGAGACCTTTATGTAGCCCCTCCCATCACAGAACTAGAGGCCTAGGGGTATAGAATGGTTTTTATGGGCTGGGCCCAGGGCATCTCTGCCCTACAGAGCCTCGGAACACTGGTCTCTGCATTCCAGCCATTACAGCTCCAGCAGTGGTTCAACAGAGCCCAGGTACAGCAAAAGCTACTGCTTCAAAGAATGCAAACTGTAAGCTTTGGTAGTGTCCATGTGGTGTTAAGCCTACACATGCACAGAGTGCAACAGCTGAGGCTTTGGAACCTCTGCCTGAATTTCTGAGGATATATGGAATAGCCTTGTGTCCAAGCAGAAGCCTCCTGTAGGGACAGAGCCCTTATGGAGAACCTCTACTAGGGCATTGCAGAAGGAAAATGTGGGGCTGGAGTCCCCAAATAAAGTCCCCACTGGGGCACTGCCTAGTAGAGCTGTGAGAAGAAGATCACACCATACTCCAGACCCCAGAATGGTAAATACACTTACAGCTTGCACCCATCACCTGAAAAACCTGCGGGCACTCAAATCAGCCCCTGAGAGCAGCTATTGGGGACTAAAACCCTGCAAAACTGTGGGGGTGGAGCTGCCCAAGGCCCTGGGAGCCCACCTCTTGCACCAGTATGCCCTGAATGTGAGACATGAAGTCAAAGGAGATTATCTTGGAGTTTTAAGATTTAATGACAGCCTGCTGGGTTTTGGACTTCCATGGGACCTGTAGCCCTTTTATTTTGGTCAATTCTCCCTTTTGTAATGAGAGTATTGCTTGTATCCCCATTCATAGGATAAAAACAGTTAAATTATCATGCCAATACATGTGGAAAGAGCATTTGACAAAATTAAACACTCTTTTATGAAAAAAAACTTTCAGCAAAGTAAGACATTTATCAACTTGATAGTGATAGTTATCTACTCCAAAACCATAGTTAACAAGATACTTAATAATTACAAACCAAAGGCTTTCCATACAATATCAGGAACAAGCCAAGGATGTTTATGCTTGCTACTTCTATTCAACAATGTGCTAAAGGTATGAGCCAGAGAAATTAAGCAAGATATAGAAATAAAAGTCAACACATCGGAGAGGAAGAAGTAAATTTATCTCTATTTTCAGATAACATGATCTTTTATGGAGAAAATTTTAAGAAATCCATAAAAAGCTTTTATACTTAGTAAATGTGTATCAAATTTACATTCAAAGTATCAATATAAAAATATCAGTTGCTTTTCTATGTCATGCCAATGAACACTCTCAAAACAAAATTAAGAAAACATTTCCACTTATGATTTCATAAAAAATATGAAAAAATTTATCAAAAAACTTTGAGGGCTGGTTCACTGAAAACTCCAAATCATAGTTATAAGAAATTATAGTCCCAAAGAAATAAAAACCTATCCCATATTTATGGATTAAAAGACTTAATATTGCTAAAATGGCAATACTCCCCAAATGAATTTACAGACTCTACACAACTCCTATCAAAATATTGGAAGTTTTTTTGCAGAAATTGGCAAGCTGATCCTAAAATTTACATATGAATTCCAGGAACCCAGAGTAGTCAAACAATTTTGAAAAAGAGAAACAAAGCTGGAGAACTCATATTTGTGATTTCAGTGCACATTAGAAAGCTACAGTAACCAGGAAGACTATGATACCAAAATCCTTAAAGACATATAAATCAATGGAACAGAATTGAGAATCTGGTAATAAAGTTTTGTATTTATGGCCCATTGATTTTTCTTGAGGGTGCCAAGCCAACTCACTGGGGAAATTACAGTCTTTTCAAACAAATAATGCTGGAACAATTCAAATGCAAAATAATGGAAATGGATGGCTGTTTAACACCATGCCATATATTAAAGTTATCCCAAAATGGAACATGGACTGTATTGTAAGAGTGAAAACTTTAAAACTCTTAGAAGAAAACATATAAATAAATCTTCATAACCTTAGGTTACATAATGGGTTTTTTAGATATGATATTAAAAGCACAAATTAGAAAACATAATATCAAAATAAATAAACTTTACCAAAATTAAGTAGTTTGTGTTGTAATAGACACAATCCAAAAAGTGAAGGGATAACCCACAGAATGAAAGAAAATATTTGCAATAACTATGTTTAATAAGAAAATTGTAGCCAGAATATACAAAGTACTCTTACATCTCAACAAAAAGGCAAAAATAAAAATAGGGAAGTTTTGAGCTCCCATATACTACTGGTGGAAATGTAAAATGATGCAGCCATTTTATAAAATGTTCAGCAATTCTTTATTAGTTTAAAATTAAAAGGGGAATGAGGTGCTAATGCATACTAGAATTTGTATGAACTTTGAAAATGTTCTGATAAGGGAGAAAACCACACAGTAGAATATAAATTGCATAATTCTGCTTATAAATTTCCAAACTAGGCTATTCTACAGTGACAGAAAATAGATTAATGGTTATCAGGCCTGGAAATGAAGAGGTTTTGAAAATGACTGCTCATAGTTTTAGACTTCTTTTTGGAGTGCTTAAAATTGGATGATGGTGACAACTGCAAAACTATGTGAATATAATATAAGCCACTGGAATATACATATATGTATATATATATTATTTTATTGGAAATATATACATATTTTATTTTACTGGATACATATTTTATTGGAAAATTATGAGTTAAATGAAAAGAGACAAGTTTACTTCTCTAAGAAAACTTTTTATCTCACTTTTCCCAGAGCTTCCACTCTTCAGTTTCTCAACATGACCCAACAGCCATTCATTGCCTTCTTTCTGATAACACTGTATCCAAAAGGCACTCTTTTTACATTACTGAGGAACCAATTTTCTACTATTGTAAGTGAATCTGTGACAAGAAGCAACAAGTACCAATTACTCTGTTCTCATAGTGCTAAATGCATATTTTGTTCAAATTTTGGAGTGACATGCCCTTGAAACCAACTCAGTTATCCCATATAACTGATGTTTATAGTTTATTTTGAATAAATATAGAAACTGACCTTCCAAGTATTGAGACTTGAAAACATCAGCCATCCCAGACAGTGTCAAGGAATTGTAACTTACTGGATCACCACATCTGGACAATGAGACACCAGACACCTTACCTATCATGATTGCTTAGCCAACCACCTGCTTCCTGTTGACCAACTCCTCTTCCTCACTCTCCCCTATAATTCCTGTTTTCCTGCATGTAGTTACATTTCTACCATATAAAGCCTTAATTTTAATTGATTAGGGAGATGTACTTGAGACTGATTTCCCATCTCCTTGGCTGCAGCACCTGATTCAAGCCTTCTTCCTTGGCAATACTTGTTGTCTCAGTGATTGGCTTTCTGTGCAGTGAGCATCAGGACTTAGCCTAAACCCCTGGTGTTTTAGCAACAGCTACATATCAGTGTTCTCACATTGGTTTTGACCCACTGAATCTAGATGCAGGATAGAAACTATAAAAGGACTCAAGAAAAAGAAACTATTAAAGAAATTTTGAATATAATTTGAGACACAATAGGAGAATAAATATATTAAAATTAAATATGCCATTTACAAATAAAAGATAAGGCAGGTATGCAAGTGTATGCCTTAGGAAATGTGAAGTACAACTTCTGGTCATGAAAAATAAAGTCATTGGCATCACCAAGTCAAAAAACAGATAACAGATTAAGCAAAAAATACAACCTAAAAAAGTGCCTATAATGCACAACAAAAAGAGATGAGACATATGAAAGGGTTTTTAAGAATCATGAAACAAAACTTAAAAAATTCTAATGTGTATTTAATAGATTTTTCAGTAGAATAATTAGAAAAAAAGCCAGAAGAGGCAATATTTGAAGAAATAATTTCTGATTTTTTTTCAGAAATCTTATAATCCTTCTGATTCAATCACATAAAATATCAAGCAGAAAAGTAAAAATACTATTAACTATGCAAATATCTTTGGATGCTCATAACAGCAGTGGCAAGGTAAAAACTTTAAATCTATCCAGAGGATAAAAAGATATTTTTAATATAAAGAAATGCCAACAATCAAAGATAAGACTTTTCAGAAGCAATATAATGTCATCTTCAAATTCTATGAGATAAATAATTGCCAATGTAGTGTTCTATTCCTGGGTAAATTATCATTAAAACTAGGATAAAATAAAGGCACCCAGATAAAAAGCTACTCAGATAAATTTCTACTAATTAGCTATTTTAAATACTACTACTACTACTACTAAAAGGTTGATTTCAAGTTTTAAAAAAATTGACACAAGAAGCTAAGAGTGAGATCAATTAAACAGGAAGGAAACAAAACAAATAGAATACTTCGTTAATTTATCAAATATTTGACCATTAAAAGTATATTAAACATTATCAATAGAGTGGAAAGATAATGCACCAAATGGGAGAAAATATTTTATATAGTCTATTTGATGAAAAACTAATATTCAGAATAAAATGTACAAAAGACTTCAATATCCATTTATCCAAAGAAGATATACAAACGAACAATAAAAACAACATATAAAAATATAGTCAACATCACTCATCATTAGACAAATGCAAATCAAAACCATGATGAGGTACCACTTCACATCCATTAGGAGGCTATTGAGAGAGTGACAGAGAAAGAGAGAGAGAGGCAGAGGAATAAAAAAGAAAAAAGGAAAGAAAAACGGAAAATAACTAATGTCAGTAAGATTTGAAAAAATTTGAACCCTGATGCATTGCTGGCATGAATGTAAGGCAACTTCTATGGAAGAAAACACAGCTATTCCTCAGACAGTTCAGCAGTTACATGATTCAATAATTCCACTTATAATTACACACTTATAACTATAGAAAGCGGGACCCAAACAGATACACCAATGTTTATAGCAGCATTATTGACAATAGCCAAAAGTGGAGACCACCCAACTGTCCATCAATAGATGAATAAACATAATGTAGCACTTACATACAATGAAACATTATTTAGCCTTTTGATAAGAATGAAATTTTGCTATATGCTACAACATGGATGAACCTTGAAAACATTAACCTAGGAAAAATTTTTTTAAAAAAGATATACAGAAGGCCAAATATTGCATGATTCTACTTACATGATATATCTAGAATAAGCAAATTCTATAGATTACAATGCATAATAGAAAATATGAAGGTATGGGAGAATGGATGGATGAGGAGTTATTTAATGAGTAAAGATTTTTAGTGGGAATTGTCTGAGTCTGTTTATTATGCTCTAACAGAATATCTTAGAATGGTAGACAATAGAAATTTAATTTTTATAGTTCTGGAGGCCGGGGAGTCCAAGATGAAGGTGCTGGTATTGTTGTGTAGTGAGGAACTTTGTTCTGTGTACTCACATGGCAGAACAGATGGAAGTGCTCAAGGGCCTAAGTAGTTCCTTGGAGCCCTTCTACAGGGATACTAATCTCAGAGTATGTCTTCATGATTTAATCACTTCTTAAAGGCTCCACCTCTTACTACTACTACATTGGGTCTTAGACTTAGACATAGGAATTTTTAAGAGACATATTAAAACCACAGCAGGAATGCTGAACATTTTTTTCAGAATTGGATAGTGGTAATGGTTTCACCATAATGGAATATAATTAATGCCACTGAACTATGCACTTAAAAATAACAAAAATGTTAAATTTTATGTAATGTATGCTTAACCATAATTAAAAAGTATATTAAAAACAACATTAGTATCTAATTCTGTGACTATAGATCAAGGTGAAAATAAATACACAGAAATAACAACATGTCAAGTAAGGGTTATCAGATTGTAGAGTTTCAACAACTTTGCGCTGTCAGGTATGGGATATTAATTGATTTTAGAGTTTTTCAGATACCTGTATTAAATTCTAAATATTAACTATAAAAATATACACTATATATATATATATAAATCAACCCAGAATAGGAAAAAGGAATAATAGAAAAAATAATATTAAAGAAATACATGCAACTACATTGCTACATTAGAATGTATACCGACCAAAGATAAAAATAATCAAAAGGGTTATAAAACAGTATAGGCAATATGAATAGAAATAACCCTGAATGTCTAACAAAAATGTAGTCAGTTTCATTAAGATTAAAGAAAAAGCAAGTATTATGTTTAGTGACTGAACTGAGAGGGAACACATATACGTGTTTTCCCATTATTGAATACTAATTAAATGTCTGACACTATTATTACTATTTTCTTTTCTTTTCTTTTTTTTTTTGAGATGGAGTCTTGCTGTGTCTCCCAGGCTGGAGTGCAGTGGTGCGATCTCGGCTCACTGCAACCTCCGCCTCCCAGGTTCACGCCATTCTCCCGCCTCAGCCTCCCAAGTAGCTGGGACTACAGGCGCCTGCCACCACGCCCGGCTAATTTTTTCATTTTTAGTAGAGACTGGGTTTCACTGTGTTAGCCAGAATGGTCTTGATCTCCTGACCTTGTGATCCCCCAACCTCGGCCTCCCAAAGTTCTGGGATTACAGGCATGAGCCACTGTGCCTGACCTACTATTACTATGTTCTATTCATTATTACTTTTGGTTCTCATAACTTTGTAAGCTACCCTAGATATTTTTGGCAGCTGGCAATAGGGGGAAAAACTGAGTTAAACAATAAAATAAATTTTCTCAAAACCCAAGTCTAGAGATTTCAGAATTGACGTAATTCAGGCTTTCAAACTCTACATGTGAGTGTATCTTATCTTTTCTCACTTGTCAATTTGATAAGGAAATGTGTGCAATTGACTTTAGCATCACATCTCCTAATAAAATGGGAGGAGTTTTCCCCATCCCTCTTACAGGGCATGTGACGAGGGTGTGGCTCGCTTCTTTGGTGCCCCATAGCTCAAACCCCCAGGGGGTGCATGCATATCAGTAGGTCTTGGGGAGCGTTTTTTTGGGGGCTCCAACCGCACAGCAGCCTCTAGGGTTGAGTGGTTACAGCTCCCGAAGCCCCAGCGGGCGTGTGTTACACTGCCCTTTCAGCCTAGCTGCCCACAGGCAGCTTGTGTTAATCAGCTCAATTAGGCCCTCTGCCTTATCGCAAGGAAAGAGGGCTTTCTCTATCCCAGGGTTCTTGCCCTCATGTACCAAAACTTTCAGATCCCTCCTGGGCTTGGAGATTGAGTGCAAGGTTTTTTGAGTAGTGGAACTAGCTCTTAGCAGATGGATGGGTAGCCAGAAGGAGGAGGGAGTGGGAAGGTGGTCTTCCCCTGGACTCCGGTTGCTCAGCAGCCAGGCTCTCCTCCAACTGCCCTCGACCACATTTCCCTCAGTGTCCGCATTGTTTTGCCATAGATGACCTGCTGGCATCTGTCGGTGTGTTCTTCTGCCAGTGTGTTCCTCTCAATGTCCAGTCATTTGTGCGTGTGCCCACTAAGGTCTTGGTGTTTTTATAGGCACAGGATGTGGGGTGTGCTGGGCCAGAGTGGTCTCGAAAAATGCAACATTTGGGCGTGAAAGCAGGAGTGCCTCTCCTCACTTAGGTCCGTGGGCACAGGCCCGAGGCTGGAGCCCTTGCCAGGTACCCTGCCCTTCTCTACCCAGCACTTCCCTGCCCCCCTCCCATATCACTAATATGAAGAAGAGAAAAGAGAAATCAGCTTGGAGAGCTTTCCAAGTAGAACCCCAGAGACTTTCTTACTCTGGAACATCCTGCCATTTTCTCACCATGACTACTTGGTTCAAGTTGTATAAAATGCCCCATCATTAACTAATCACTAACAAGGGAGACTGAGATTATCTTTAAACCAACAAACTCTATATTCCTATATTCCCTTGGGAATGGGAATGAGATCAAGTTCTCCTGGTTGGCATGGCCCTTTCCTGAGGACCCGAACTTTAACTAGAAAAATAGTCCAAGTCACTTGACGTGTGTGCATTCAAAACTTCCCTCTACAAGTATGTATTGTTATTACATTTTATAAATGAGGCTAACAATCTTGATTAAGGTCATATGCTTTTTGATAACACTAAGGTTTAAAAGCCAGCCTGTACATTCTAAAACCTTCCTCTTTACCATGTAAATGCATGGTACTCTCGAATTACCAATCATTTTTACAGAAGGGTTGATAAAATCTTATAGCTATTTCAGGGCTAATGTTGAGATTTTATTCTACATAATTTCTTTTTGTCTCCATTCAGCCCTGGGATTCAGGGTTCTCAGAATATCCGCAGTTACCAATAAACATTGTATGTAAAACAGAAACTTAGAATTCTTACTATTAAAAGGTTTGCCCATGGCTGCTCTTCTGTAACTATAACAAAGCTTCAACTGTGACTCTTTGAGTTCCTTTGTTCTGAGTACAATAACATGCTATGTTCAGTTTCCCTTAGGATTTATTTGGTCCATTGTCTTTGGCAGCTTCTATCAAGTTTGTGATCTTTTTTTATCACATTCATCAGTAAAACAAATATTACATGTCCTACTAATGTAGGGTAGAACCCTTAAAGGCATGTGTAAGTAGAATCAATGATCTGACAGGTCACACCAACTGGTCCTCATAAAGACCCCTTTTTATCCTCTGGACACAGACTTGCTGGGCAATTATTCACCTATATTTGTCTATTCAGTTTTATAAATGTTTTTTGATGGTACATTTTTATTATCAATACTTTCTTTTAAAGCAGCCTTTCTATCACTCAATGGAGAATTGGCTCACAGGTAGAAATCAGATAATAAATGACCACTTTTCTTTGAAGTGGCGTCTCCAAGACACTTCATCATTCATCATTGATCATTGATTTCTTTTGATTGTATAAATTAGGTAATACCCTTGTTTGTCCCCCAAATTGTGGTTCTCTACATCTCTGTCCTATCTCTTAGTTTTTGGAAGTCAGACTTTTAGATGTCACAGTGACTTTGCTGCCCATTATGGGAAGTACACCAGCCTTTATTCTGTGTTTTTAAATGCCCCCTGACTTCTATATTTTGGAATCCTCTTAACACTGATACTATTGAAATACCTAGTACTATCACAGCCTCTCTTACTTTCAGCTCTTGCATACAAAAGGTAGCTACCTCTTAACTTCTGTACGAAGCTGGTGACCTCTCACTGGTGCATTCCATGATATTTTGATAAGTTTACCTTCTCAAAGAAGGTCATATAGTAAACAGATGAATAGTTTGAATGTACTATATCACTCTAATATACTCACTTCTCCAAGCCTACATTCTCTTTTTCCAAACTTTTTCATGGAAGTTCTGGTCTCTGTGGTTTCGGTTGCATAACTCATGACTTTTTCCAATCTTCCCAAAGTCAAATTTAGCATTGCCTCCCATCGTCTTGCCAGAGTTTTAAATTCTCTATTAAGGGAGGGTGCTCCCATATGAATAAACTTTATTGTTCAAGATTATTGCCTGTTGTCCTTAATCCAGAATCTTTAGCATCCGGATCCTTACGTATTCCCTTGGTTTGTGAAAAGTTGATGTGTTTCATAAGTCATGCACTCCTTTCGCATATGGTTACTTCCCCTTTTACCAGACCAAGCACTTTCAAAGTTGAGTTGTGTTGTGATATAATCTGTTGTCCAGGAAAAACGATAAGCCATATCCTGAGGATGGTGAATGTTGTCTTGAAAAGTAAAGACTTCTGCATTACTTTTAAGCATGAGAAGAGAGACCATTTCTAAATTCTAATAGGAAGGAGTGGACCACTTCTGCAGACCCAGAGGGTTTAGTGGAGTATCAGAATTCAAAATTTCCAAAAGAATCAACCCAAATGCTAAATCTCAGGGTCTCCCTCCTTCTCAGTTACAGTACTGATCTTGATGTAGCAGATTTGTCAGCGTTGGAAAGGCAACCTCTTTTGGAGTTCTGATCACCTTATAATTAAGTCTTGGGGCTGTCTCTCTGCTGCTTTGTACTCTGCTTGCAAGACATGACTCTATATTGTTATAGAGGCTCTCTGACTTTCCCCCATTAATTTCAGTTGGTGATCTGAAATTACATCCTTACATGTTTATTCTTCTTCTGGTGAAAATTTAACCAACCAGTTTAGTATGAAAAGAACTACAAATATAGCACCTGCCATAACAAAGACCATATTCTTACCCAGATTATTGGTTACCCAGGTGCAAAGCTGCATTTTAGAGTCAGCTTCCTAGGATGGCATTCCTAGAATGACCTCAGTACCAATTGTCATAGGTTGAGTTCCTCAGGAAACAAACTATAAAGAGAGATTTACATTCAGGCAGTTTATTGGGGGAATAGTCTCAGAACTCACACTTTTGAAGAAGTGAGAAAAATAGGATGAGCGGAAGGAGAAGTTGAACGGCAATGTAGTTGTAACAGAGGCTGTAGCGAACCTGTGGGAAGACCTCTAGCTTGGCTGGCTATTCAGAATTATTCTGAGTTGATGCAAGAAAACTGGGTTATCATTGGATACAGGCTGCCCTCAAAGGCAATTCACCTGCAAACTGTCCTAAGCCAACATTCCAAGCAACTGGGAAATGGTGGGGTATCTAGGCAGCCTACCATTACACTCCCTTTTACATAAAAGGTTCTTCTAATATTTTTAAATGAATTCAGTTAACTTATCTTAGTCGTCTCATCTCTAGGCCCCAAATCCAAGTCTTTATTAACTATATTATAAGGAATAAGAAACCATTTTATATTACCATTCAGGTAAGAAGTCATTTTATATTTCAGTTCATTCACCACAAAGTTTTAAGGACAGTACACACCAAAAACCAATTTTTATCCCGTTAAAAAAGCTTGCAAATATTTTAACTCTCTGTGACATTCCAGTCCATAAAATTCTTCACCATCTTTTGTGTTCTCTGACAAATGGCACTCTGTGCTCAGGGTCTTCCCTAAGTGACTTGTGATTATCTATTTTTTTCTTTGGTATTCCACAGCATGTGTCTCTCATGACTATTATCTTATTCTGTGAAATTATACTTTATATGTTGTGTAAAAAGCACATGTTTACTATAAAGAAAGTAAGCAATGCAGAAAACTACAAATAAAAAATAAAAAAAAAGAAAAACACAGCTGGGGAGGTGCCTCACACCTGTAGTCCCAGCATTTTGGGAGGCCAGACAGGAGGATCGCTTGAACTCAAAAGTAGGAGGCCAACCTGGGCAACATAGTGGAATTTCAGAACATCCCACAGAATAAAAAAATTTGAAATTATCTGAGCTTTATTATTTAGTCTCAATTTTAAGTGAAACATTTTAATATAATCACCATTGTAAATGTTTGTGTATGCATATCTCCATCTGTCTACCTACCTACCTACCGACAGGCCAGTCTTGCTTTACTGTAGGAATACATTTTAAGAAATGCGTGGTTAGGCAATTTTATCTTTGTGTTGTGAATATCATAGAGTGTACTTCTACAAATGTAGATGCTATAGCTTACTACACACTTACGGTATATAGTATAGCCTATTGCTTCTAGTTTATAAATATGTACAGTATGTTACTATACTGTATACTGTAGGTAATTGTAACACAATTTGTGTGTCTAAACATAAAAACGTAGAGTAAAATTATAGTGTAAGTGATAAAAATGGCACACTTGTATAGGGCACTTACGAATGAAGCTTGCAGAACTGCACGTTGCTCAGGATGAGTCAGTGAGTTCGTGGTGAGTGAATGTGGAAACCCAAGGCACTACTGTACATTACTGGAGACTTTATAAACACTTCATATTTAGGCTGCATTAAATTATAAAAGAATATGATACTTTCTTCAGCAACAAATTAAACTCACCTTACTGAAACTTTTCTACCTTACAGACTTTTTAAGTTTTTGACCCTTTTGTAATAACACAGCTTAAAACACAAGCACATTAACACCTGTACAAAATATTATATTTCATTATATTCTTATTCTTTAGCCTTTTTTGTATTTTAATTAATTATTTACACTTTTTTATTAAAACTAAGACACAAACACACACGTTAACCAAGGCCTACCAGGGCCAGAATCATCAATGTCACTCTCTTCTACTCCCACATCTTATCTGAAAGGTCTAAGACATCACTAGGTGCTGGCAATTTTTCAGCACCATTATGAACTTACAGGACCACTATCATAAATGCAGTCTGTCATTGAATGTTGTCATGCTGTGCACGACTGTTTTCATCTGGTCTTGGAATTATTGGAGGAAACTTTCAGATATTGTAAATAGATTCGCCAAAAAACGTGACCTTCAGAGAATTGTCAATGATGCTTTTAAATAATAGATTCTTATCACTAACATAAAATAGATGTTTCAAATGCAAAATTTAAATCAGTATTGTTAAGAATAATTCTTCGTTACTAGTGTTTATTTTTCTCCACATGAATCCATTTATTGCATTTATAAATAAAAGTTGAATTTAATGATTGGGAAAGAGGAAAATTTATCCGTCCAACAATAAAATTTTGATTAAGTAGATTTGACTTTTATTATTTTAAGTAATATGTTTTCTGGCTTCATTTTGATGTTATAATGCACAGTGATAAGGTATTATATATAAGCCATTGTGAGGAAACATTAAAGAGAAAATGAAAAATGTACAACTCTTATAATGGAAATGATCAAATCAAAAGTTCATGTACAATGTTTCCAAACTAGTTAGAAATACACAAATTATAAACATAGGATATAGAGGAAGATACTCCTATCCATAAAGCTTTTCTAGTAGAATTAATATAGTCTCAATATTTACAATGTAAAAAGGTTGATACAATGTAGTTTGAGAGAACTCTGAATGTGGAGTTCTCCTATTGAAGAGATTTCACAGGGTCAAATCCAGGTCCTATCAATTGTATAATTATGGAGGTATACATAAGCAATTTGCATATGTTCTCTAATCTTGAGTTTCTGTATATATTACAAAGATAAATTATAGAGTATATCTTGAAATGGAGGTATTCAGGTATGTAGAGGTATATACTAATAATGGTATCTACTCTAAACGTTATAAGAGAGACCCTGTGAGAATTTGAATAAATTGCCTAATGGAAAGTTGTTAAAAATCACCTGGTGCATAGACAGGGCTTAAAATTTATACAAATAAGATGTTTATCTAGAGAATACTTAGTTTAGACATATAGATCATAATGAAAATATTTTGGAAGGTGATCCATAGTTTCAGTTGAACTTAGTATCTAGCACATTCTCCCTGGCATCTAGCAAATGACTGTAAAACAATATTTCATAATGAAAATATACCTAAAATACCAATGGAATCTTCTAGAACATTCAGCTCTAGACTAGAGAGTATATACATACAATGACTTAGTTGTCTTAGTATGTTTCCTGCTGCTATACCAGAATTCTACAAACTAGGTAATTTATAAAATAAATTTATTTTGGCTCATGGTTTTGGAGTCTGGAAAGTCCAAGAGCATGATGCTGTCATCTGGTTAAGGCCTTCTTGCTGCAGGATTCCATGACTGAAGAGCAAGCTAGCACATAAGAAAAATGAAGGAAATGGAGGACAAACTTAGTCTTTTATCAGAAACTCACTCTCACAATAACTAGCACGACATTAATTCATTCATAAGGGCACAGCCCTTATCACCTAATCGTGTCTTAAAGCCTCCCTTTCAACATTGTTACAATGGCAATTAAACTTCAACATAAGTTTGGGAGGAGACATTCAAACCATAGGATTCTGCCCCTTCTACCCCCCAAAACTCATGCATTTCTTACATACAAAATACATTCATTCAATTCCAATATCCCCAAAACTCTTAACTTGTTTCAGAAGAGTCTTGTCTAAATCAGATATGAATAAAACTCACAGCACCATTCATCCTGAGGCAAATCCCCTCCAGCCATAGCCTGTGAAATCAAAATAACTTATCTACTTCCAAAATACAATGGTGGGGACAGGCACACAATAGACACTCCCATTCCAGATTAAAAAAAAAATAGGCAAGAACAAAAGGTGTAACTTGTCCTAAATAAGCCTAAAATCCAACAAGGAAAACAACATTAAGTCTTAAAGCTCAGGAATCATTTCCTTTGACTTCATGTCTTACGTCCTGGTCAGACTGGAGGCTTAGGCCCCTAAAGCTTCAGGCAGCCCCTACCCTATGGTTTTGTTGGGTAAGTCCACCCAGTAACTCTCACAGGGTGGAGTCTGATACCTGCAGCTTCCTAGGCAGAAGTTACATGCTGACAGCCCTATGGTTCTGTGTTCTTGGGAATGAACTAATTTCCATGGGTCCCATTTCCCTAGTGGGGACTCTCTGTGGCAGCTCCTAATCCATACTTCTGCTCGGCATTGCCCTAGTAAGGGCTCTTTGCAGTAACTCTTTTCCTGTGGCAGGTTGCTGCCTGGGCTTCCAGGAAGTTCACAACTTCCTTTGAAACCTAAGTGGAAGAAGCCACACTTTCATAGTTCCTCCATTCTGCATGTCTGTAGAATTAGCACCATGTGGGCATTGCCAAGGCTTACTGCTCATACCTTTTGGTGCAGAGGGTTGAGTCACTTCTGAGCTTCTTGAATCATAGCTAGGGCAGAAAAGCTATGCTGGGCTGGAATGTGGGAAGCAGAGTCCTGAGGCAGCCATGGTAGTGAGCCTGTGGAGGGTACACCAGGCTCATCTCTAATAACCATTCTGCCCTCCTAGATCTAAGGCCTGTGATTGGAGGGGAAGATTTAAAAATCTTTGAAATGCCTTTGTGGTCTTTTTCCAATTGCTTTGATAAAAAAAACACCTGGCTCATTCTATCCATATTAATCTCTTTAATAAATGGGCACTTGGTCCAACACTTGTCTGATCTTCTGAACATACTTTTACACTCATAACATGGCCAAGATACAGCTTTTCAAATGTTTTTGTTCTGTTTTTCTGTTAAGTATAAATTCTTATCTTTGAGTCTTTTTTTTCTCTTCTATCTCATTGTACATGGTTAAAAGTAGCCATATAGTGGTGTGAATGCTTTGCTGCTTAGATATTTCTTCCATCAGACATCTAAGTTGATTTCTCTTAAGTTCTGGATTTAATAAACTCCTAAGATATGGACACAATTTCATCCAGTGTCTTTGGTAATTTAGAACAAAGATGTTCTTTACTCCAGTTTCCAACACTTTTTTCCTCATTTTCATCTGAGAATTTATCAGAATGGCCTTTAATTCCCCTGTTTCTACCACTATTTTGGTCACAACCGTATAAGGAATCTCTAAGAAGGTCCACAATTTTTCTACAGCTCCCTTCTTCTTCAGAGCCATCACTAGAATTGCCTTCAATGCTCGATTCATAGCAATACAGGCTTTTTCTTGCCTAGTCCTCCAAATTCTTCTAGCTTCTACACATAACCCAATTCCAAAGGCAGTTTCATATTTCTAGGTATGTGTTACAAAAACAACCCCACTCTTGATACCAATTTTATGTCTTACACCATTTTCTGTTGCTATATCAGAATTTCAAAGACTAAGTAATGAATACAGAAAAGATATTGAGTTTGACTCTTGGGTCTGAAAGCTGGGAATTCCAAGATTGTGGCATTGGTATCTTATGAGATGCCACAATCTTGGATATATGCAGCCTTTTTGTTTTATTATTTCATGGCAGATGGGCAAGTGAGCAAGAGAGACAAAGAGAGAAAATAAGGGTTGAACTTATCCTTTTATCAGGAGCCCACCCTTGTGATAAATAACCTACTCCTGTAATCTCCTGTAATAATTGCATTAGTCCATGTTTGAGAGCAGAGCCCTGATGACCTAATCACCTTTTAAAGGCCCTGCCTATTAACACTGTTACCATGGGAATTAAATTTCACTATAAATTTTGGAAGGGGCATTTAAACCATAGCAACCACTCTCACCATTATATCTTAGAGTACTTCCATCTCAGTTCTTCATCATTTTTGTTTAAACTGTCCTCACTTTCTAGACTATCTCATGTAGTCCCAGTATCTAAATATCATCTATGTATGAACCCTAAATCTCTCTTGAAATCTAGGTCCAGATATCCTATGCCTACTTGACATCTGCATTTGTGTAACTGTAAGCTCCACAAACATAACACATGCAAAACTTAACATTCTCTTCAATATCTATTCTTCCTTCAGTTGCTCATATCAATTGTAAATGTCAGTTGCGTGTTTTTATTTTCTCAGCAATAAATCCTTATATAATTCTGCACTCCTCTTTTTTTCCCTCTCAATTTCACATATAGTCTTCCAACGAGTGCTTTTAGCTTTGCCTTAATACCACATGTTGCCACCTCCAGCCACCACCTTGGTCCCAGACACAATTACCTCTCCCCTAGAATACTACCGTGACCATCTATATCTATTTTTGTTTTTTTTTTTTGAGACAGAGTTTCGCTTTTGTCCCCCAGGCTGAAGCACAGTGCCACAGTCTCGGCTCACTGCAACCTCCACCTCCCGGGTGCCAGCAATCCTCCTGTCTCAGCTTCCTAAGTAGCTGGGATTACAGGCATGCGCCACCACACCTGGCTGATTTTTGCATTTTTAGTAGAGATGGGGTTTCACCATGTTGGCCGGGCTGGTCTTGAACTCCTGACCTCAGGTGATCTGCCCACCTTGGCCTCCCAAACATCTTTACCTTTTAATAGCATCGTCCTATGTACTATCTTAAGAGACTAAATAACAGTTCTTGCCTCCTTCAGACCATGTAATTCTGTTCAAATGAATGTCTGGTCATATAATTTCTCTGCTGAACACATTCCTTCAACAACTTTACTTCCTGCTCAGAGTAAAGTCTGTGGGCCTATCATAAAAGACTCTCCAGCAGGACCCTCACTTGGTCTCCTACTTGGCTTCACATTTTCTTTCCTCACTCTACTTCGTTTACATTGGACTTGTTGCTTTCTCTTGTATATTCCAAAAAAGATCCCAAATGCAGACTGTTTAAACTATTGATCTTTTAGCATGATTTCCCCCAGATATTTCTGAGATACTTTATTCATCATTTTTCCCCCAGAAAACATGTTTTCAGTTAAGTAACATTAATGCATCCCCTAGGCATAGTAAACACAATACCTAGGGAATAATGATATATTTAAAGTCCTTCAAAAATATGTTAATTTATTTAAATATTCAAAACATAAAATTTTATGTTAAATACAATGTTTTAATATATAATAGTAATATTTTATCTTTATATCAATATAGTTATGATGTATAACTATACACCCATATGCTTATATGAATATATGTGTGCATATGTGTGTTACTGGAGCTATTTAATAGAGAAAGAGCCCAGAAGGCAAAATTGCGTCGTCGACACAAAGATCAGGTTGTGGCCATGCAACAATGTTTCCTTTGGCAATCTTATGCAAAATTTCAGCACCTAACTCAATATTTTATACTTTCTTTCTCTGCTACATTCCCTCTGGCTTTCCTTTAGCACTATTACTTCCTCTACTAGTAGAATACAAACTTTACATGGTAATATATTTTGTATGTTTTGTTTATTGAGGTTTGTCCAAGGTGTAGAAAAACACCTGGTCTACAGTAACAAAGATATATATATATTCAATGAATGGATGGATATTTTAACTTGCTTAAAATGCCCATGTAACACATATTTAGTTTGGAGGACTATTTTCTTTTCTTTTGTTTATTATCTAACCTACCTATATATTTTTTCTATTTATTTGTGCACTGGTTATCAGCTTGTTTGCATAATATCACTTATTGTAACTCAGGTGTGGTCATATGTGCAGAAGAAATAATAAGTTTCTTAAGTGCTTTTTAATATATAACAAGTAAGAACAAACATATTACAAGTAAGAACAAAATGTACAATCTTCCTGATCACTATTTATAAGTTTGTACTTTTTAGAGTTTTTTTTTCTAATAAACAGGAAGGGCATTTATGAAATATACATCCCGATAAGACTTTACTTAGAAACTACTGGCTGTACCATGAAATTTAATTTTTATATTGTGTCAGCAATAATGTTTTTCTAAAGAACAAACTGTAAGACCAGTGCTATGAGTGTCACATAAACAAACAATTTCCTGCATTCGATTTTTGGTTGTTTACCATTACTTTGGTTTCTTGCTATGTGAGAAATGCAGACTGAGTTTCAAGTATCTGCTGAATATGTAATGTGGTTTTTATAATAAAATATGTGTCCCAGTTTGGATTTGAGAATGAATTTTGAGGACTCCGCTATGTTCTTCTTTCTCTTCTTCTTTTTGTCCATTAGTTATTTGTTTTTGCAGCAAAGTCAATTAGAGTTACATTTTTGAGTAAGAATTGGCTTGTTTGCCCTCTCCACTACTATTCACGCATATCCTCGGACCTACCAGAATCAAAGGCATTTGTACTGACATGCCATGTCCAGTTACTAGAGTCCCGTATTGGTATCCCGGCCAATGGTAGTACCGTCCTAGGCAGCTGGATTTGCTCTGTGCTTACTGTGCTCTCCTCCATCTTGTCCACACTGGTACTGTCTAATTATTTTTCTACATGATCTTTCTGGTGACAATCTGGGTCATTCCAAATAATCTAATGTATGCCATGATTTAAGAATTTAATGTATTATAATTTTAGTATGGTAATACTTTAATAATTTTTTGTTCAAAATGCTGAAATTTGAATGGTATTTGCCTCTATAGGTTAAGAAGAAGAAAAGAAATCTTAATGATGCTATATTGCATACTTGAAATTCACCAAACAAAAAAAGTTGATCTTAAGTGCTCTCACCACACATTCACAAAAGTCATAAGTATGGTATGTGAGGTCATGGATATGCTAATTAGCTTAATTGTGGTAATTATTTCATGGTTTATACATATGTATACCAAAACATAACATTGTATATGTTAAATATATGCAACTTTTGTTTGTCAAGCATACCTCAATAAAACTAGAAAAAAAACATTTTTAGGAGGGATAGCACTCGTTATTACCATCATAAAATCTCATCTAAAAAAAATACAAACTTTTTTTCTGTGTGTATATGATTACCAAAGATATTCTAGTAAAACTTAAAATGCTCTTTCTCTAATTTGATTTAACTTTAGAAAAGTTATGTAAGCACATATGTACATAGATTTTCATTATTAGAGCATGTGTTTATATGCCTTTCAACAGTATCACTGACTTTGTTGAATGACTTTTTACTTTATTGAACTGACTTTAGTGATTAGTTTAGGAATATGTATTATTTCAGTGTATTACTTTCATCCTCACTTCTGAGGGTGAGATATTATGTGAAGAACTTTGTTAAATAAAATAGACAACAATCATGTTCTGATGCTCCTTTGTAAATGTAATATTTTTCTGAGAAATTTAATAACTTGAGAAAATCTGACTGTGGTCCACAAATATTAGATGTAAGTATATTTAGAGATTATATTCTGATGTTAAACTTCTCATAAGATTTGTCTTCTTGCTCAGGTTTAAATATGTTAGAATTCTAGGCATTTGAATAAAAGATGAGAAAGGAAGGGGTTTTATAGTATTAGGAACTAGAACCTCAAGGTTATTTGTGCTTAAAGTCTAGGCCATTACTAATGGGGATTTCATCATCATCACGTCAACAGTTATTGATTTTCTCTCCCTCCTTCTCTCTCATTCCCTCTGTTTCTCTCATTCTCTATGTATGTATACATATTTATGAATACACACTCTATATAATTATTTCATATTTATTGTACATATAAATATAGACTGTGTGTGAAAGAGAGAGTGTGAGAGAAAATTTGTTATTTTGATGAGTTCAGGAACTGATTGCAAGTTCTACAGGATGGGGACAAAAGTGCAGAAGAACAGCACTATTCACAATAGCCAAGATGTGGAATCAATCTAAATGTCCATCTACAGATGAATGAATAAAGAAAATGTAATCTATATAAAAAATGGAATACTATTCAGCTATAAAACAGAATGAAATCTTGTCACTTGCAGCAACAGAGATAAACCTATAGGATATTATGTTAAGTGAAAAAAGCCAGGAACAGAGAAACAAACACTGCATGATCTCACTTGTATGTGGAATCTAAAAAACATGATTTCATAGAAGTAGAGAGTTGAATAGTGGTTACAAGAGACTGAGGAGGGGAGAGGGTTTGTCAATGGTTACAAAATTACACTTAGACAGGAAGAATATTTTTAATGTTAGACAGTAGAGTGACTATAGCAATGTGTATATTTCAAGAAAGTTAGAAGAGAACATTTTGAATGCTGTCACCACAAAGAAATAATAAATGTTCAAAGTCACGGATATGGTAATTACCACAATGTGATCATTATATTATGTATACATGCAGTGAACATCACAGTGTACTCCATAAATATTTATAATTATTATGAGTCAATTATAAATAAAAATTAATATACAAATTAATAAATAAAAAGATAGACAAATATATTTACTAGCCCTCCTCACTTGATCAAATTACAATAATCACAATCACCGTTCAGTTCTGTTTAATATCTTCCAAAAAGATTTCAGTATCAATAATACATTATATGACAAAGCATTAACAACTTCTTAAAACACCAAAGGGATTTGAAAATCCAATCAGAAAAGTGTCTTATGCATTTGGAAGTATCAACTAATCTGATTTATCAACCTAAACAAATCAAAAGTAGTAACAATATAAGAAAAAAATAAAAATCTGTGTAATTGATACTACATAAAAGTGGTTGGCCATGTAAAACAACAGACTGTGGAAAAATATATTAATTCTTATGTTTTCAGCACAGAGTAAAAAGTCCTCAGGTAGAGCAAAAACCTACGTTAATTTTTTTCTGTTTCTTTTTCTCATTTACTTTGATGTGTTAGTATGAAAATAAGAATAAGACAACTCTTTATAGGCTACACTCTGACTACGTGGCTTATGAAAATGCCCCTATTCTTTATTGTGCTTTACATTCATATGGCATTTGCATTTTGAAAATGTACAGAATCTGGTAGTAAAGCAATGCAATAATTAAATTACAGTATTTTATTTAACAAAACAATGTAAGGTCCTTGTAAGCTGAAGAGTCTAGGCAAGTACTTCTCAAACTGGGGATGATTTTGCTCCCAGAAGACATATGCAATGTCTGGAGACATTTTTGATTGCCATGGCTAGGAATTTCTACTTCATCTAGTTTGGTAGCAGGCCGGGATAACTAGTTAAATATCCAACAATGCACAAAATAGCCCTCACAAAAAAGAATTATATGACCCCAAATCTCAATAGTGTTAAGGTTAAGAAACAATGGTCTAGGCAATATATAAGTAGTAAAGCACAACTTAATATTTTTTTTTCTGAAAAAAAAAGAGGACCAGCTTTTCTCCTTAAATTAAGTATGGTGGTTAAAGTAAGACTAATTATACAACATAGTTCCCCATCCTGAATCACTTATGAGTAAAAATTAACTTTGAATGTTTAAATAAGTGATATTATAAAATTATTATTATCATATATATTTTTACACATTTAAACATATAATGTTGCTAAATTTGGTTAATGTTATTATATTATTAACCAATTTTAATATATAATATATAAACCAAATTTAGTTTTATAATGGTATTATAAAATAATGACATAATACCATTTACCAAATTTAGATAGGTAATAGGAATATTTATCTATGGTTCCTGAAAAAAATACATAAATTTATTTTAAGAAAATTATTTTAAGAGGATGTGAAATATATTGACTAACAATATATTGATTACTGAATTTTTTTTTTTTTTTGAGATGGAGACTCGCTCTGTCGGCCAAGCTGGAGGGCAGTGGGATGAGCTCGGCTCACTGCAACCTCCACTTCCCAGGTTCAAGCAATTCTCCTGTCTCAGCCTCCTGAGTAGCTGAGATTACAGGCATATGCCACCATGCCCAGCTAATTTTTGTATTTTTAGTAGATACTTGGTTTCATCATGTTGGCCAGGCTGGTCTCCAGCTCCTGACCTCAAGTGATCCCCCCTCAGCCTCCCAAAGTGCTGGAATTACAGGCATGAGCCACTGTGCCCAAACTTGATTACTGATTTTCTAAATGCATTTCAATTGAAAATTTTGGATGATTTTTTATTTATATTCAAGAAAATGCAAGTATTTGACTAATAATACTATTCTGGATACAAACCTGAATAAGTGTCATTAGCTTATATCAGATTTTATTAACATTTCACTAATAGCTAACAAATAAGAAGATACTACACTAACAAATGGGAGTATGTATTAATATCAAATAAATGTGTCATTAATAACAAACTTATACTCTCTTAGACCAAGTTAGGGAATTGTTTGAATAGTGCTTTGGGTTCTAAGAAAACACTTGTTCAAATACTGCTCCTCAGTCATTAATTATAGTAACATCCAGTTTTTCCAAAATTTAAGTTATATTCTATTGAATAAAATCAAAAGAAAACATAATTTGCCTTCAAGAAATTGTAAGAAAATATTTTCTGTGTAACAATAAACTTCCGATGAGCAAAATTAAGATAAAATCACCAACCAGATATACTCAGATAGATTTAATTATTTTAATTAAATGCTATTTAAAATTGCTTTTGGCATGCATATATACAGTTTTAGAATAAAGAATTAACACTATATATATATATATATATGTTTATACCTTTAATGTGATTAGTATAACATACCTATTGCTAAACTAGATCTTAATTTTATTATTTATTAATCTTTTAGGGTCTTACATTTTGAATATGATGACACATTTTCAAGCAAGTTTTTCAAATACCTTAGATACTATTATTCATAAATTATTTGCCAATAAATATGAGATTTTCTATACCTCATTAGTATTATATGTGTTTACCTAGAAAACAAAATTCTGTGGAATGTGTGTTTGTGGTTACATTCACATGTCTATACCGCATATGTGCAGTTATCTCGCAGATCGGATTTTACCTGAGGGCTGTGTGTGTGTGTGTAAAAATGAAAAGAAGTGTTCATGTGTGTGCAAATAGTTTTGTTGATGGATTAAATTTAACTTAGATGATTGGTTCTCTTAAACATATGTTTCTTGTTAATGCAGTACTTAACTATACAAAAACATGCTAAAAACCATTTTGATGATGTATCTGCATAGTCCAATATAGAAAGTAAAACTATTCTTCTTAGACATTTTCCTTTTTTCCAACATAACTTTTTTTTTCTGTTTGGGGAAGTTGGTGTAAATTCCGCTATAGCTACCAATATGTAGGCTGAATTATTCTGAAGTTAATGCATACAGACATTCTGCCACCTGAATTTCTCAACTTTGGAGATCCCTGTCTCTCAGTTTCAGTGTCATGCTTCCAACCCTATTTGCTTTAAGTTTTCTTTCCAGAAGTAAAGTATTTGAACCTCATACTAAGTGAGAATATCTCACTTCTTACACCACAGAAAGACATAACTTTACATGAAGTTGGAAGATGTAGGAGAAAAGACATTAATATGGTTTGGGGTCTTAGAAATAATCGTGCTCAATTGATTTACTTCAAATTGATTTGTAAGTATGTTGCATCTATTTGAAACAACTCATGTCCAATGGAAAATAAAAGTAACTATATTATTATGAAATTCTTATATTTATCTGTGTTAGAGATGATTTGAATGAAAGTTTTATGTGAGGCTTAATCTATCTATTTATTTTGGGTTGAATACGATACAAAAAAGAAATTCTGTCTACCATATTCTATATATTCATTTGTGATACCAAAGGTCCTAGAGGGAGATTATTTCTAAACTACAATTACACATGTGGAATATTTTTCTTATGACTTCAGAAAAGCCAGGTATTAAAAAGAAACTAAGCCACAAACGTTTATTTCCCAAAGAAAATTAACCTTTGCTATATAGAATCACTATTATATAACTTACAGACTTTTACGTAGAAGTATAAAATGCAACAAAATGGAAAAAAGTACGAACTGTATATTTCTGTATATTGTCAAACACATAGAATATTGGTACAGTATGTAGAAGTTCATGTTTTCATTTGAATATGATTAATTCTTCTTGTGGATAACAGAATACTTGTTTCTTTCTTTATATTTCTCTAAAAATATGCTGTTTAATTTCTATGTTATAAACAAACATTTGATTTTGATTATGTAGAAATTTAGACACTATATAGCTATTTCTGAACACAGTGTAAAATCCTAGAACTTGGACAAAATTGTTTCTCAAAATTTTGCCTTTAACTTCTAGTGATGCTCTGCTAAAAATGAGATTTTATTAATCAAATCCTTTTTTGTCATAGATATTATTCTTCATCTGACTGTACTGCAACCATCCCAATTCTGTCATATGCCATTTCAGCCATGAGTTTCTTGAAAACCTCATACTTACTTGTCTTTGTCTGATCCCAACATTTGCATTTTGAATGTTCCAGAATGCAAATTTATTGAGAAAAAATGTAATTTCTACTTGCCAATCCATATTAATAATTAAGGCCTTATAAAACAGAACTTGTAATTAGTTAGACGTTTAATTTTCCTCTCTCTTTTTTTGCTTCCCAACTTAAAATACAGATAGATAAGTAGGTAGGTAGGTAGATAGACAGATGATAGATAGCCAGACATATATAAATATATATATATGTTAGTCAATTAGCTTCTGCTCTTAATGGGAATATTTATGCTTTGAGAGACAATTCTTAAGAGTATGCTAATACACAGACACACACACTCACACACACATGTTCACACACACACACCCTTATACAATGAACACAAATTATTCTCAGGTGACTTAAATTTTTTCAATGGGAAAAAATTAGAATTTTAAGAAGCTCCTCTTGAAGAAACAGCACCTAAGAAAACAACACCATTCATACTGTGGGATGTAGAAGATTTGGACAGAATAGTCGTTTTAAACACTGAACAAATATGTAATAAATAAAGATGTGTAACAGAAATTTTAAGGGTGGGCTGCAAATGAAAAAAAATTATTAATGTTATCCAAATAATCCAGAGTTTCATGAGGCAACAAAAAGAATCCATTTGAAACATAAATATCTTCACAGGCAACTTTCTACTTTCTATATTTCATCTTAATAGTTAAAAAAGGAAATAGATCCATTTTTCGATCTAATAACAATATAACTTGAAAAAGTATGTACTTAAGTTGATTTGAGCATATATAATAGGAACATTTGTTTATGACAGTAAATATTGTCATAAGTGCAGTTTTAGGAGAGTTGATAATCTACTTTTTTCTTATAGTTAAAACTGTGGGTGAGAAGTGTGCGATACAAGATGAGGTTGGATCAATGGTAGTTGTATCGTGCTGATAGAATTTAATACCTTATGATATGGAGTTAAAGAAAAAGCCAAATCAGTTTTGTAGCGAGGCAATTCTGCCAAAAATAATAACATTATGGGTATCTGAATGTTCCCAATAATAGACAGCTTTGGGGCCAATATATTTGAACTTTGATTGCACTTTAGGTTCAATTGAGGGTTTTAAAAATCACTGCCTCTTCTAATATATATATATAATATATAAAATATATATTTTATAAAAAACTTTTATATTTTTATACTTTTTATATTTTATATAAAATATATTTTTATATTTTATATAAAATATATTTTTATATTTTATATAAAATATATTTTTATATTTTATTAAAAACTTCTCACCATTGCCAGTCAAGTATAATGAGGAACCAAACTATGGCAACACTATTTAAGATACTGCATCAGGAAAATAATTTTCTCTGAAATCTAGTTTTACAGAATAAACACCATTTTGTGTAATGTCTAGAGCTGCAAAACATTTTACAATTTTTACATCCTTCATAATTTAAAAAGACCGTTCATCAAAACATTGTAATTTAATCAGCTCAGAGAAATATACTAGTGCATAACCAGACACTTAATTCATGTCTATATAAAAATGTATGCTAATTTTATTTCAGAATTTACTATACCTCCATAATCTTTGAAATATCCCTGTTCCCCGATTCAATTAGAAGTTAGCATTTCAGACTTGATTCTGAAAATATTTTATAACTATTTATAGTGCTTAAAATATATGAGAAAAATAAGATGCTTTAAAAATATTACTTCTGATCACTCAAATCTATAAAAACAACACGAAGGTTTCTCATCTCAGGTAATTTAAAATGGGTGTGCATGTGTGTACATTTATTTCATTTTTTAATCTTTAATACCACACATTATTTATACAGCATTCACATATCTACTTTTATGGTTATAGATTGATGACTTAAGTTTTCTCCCTAGATGACACTGTTATATAAGCTCGCTAAATTTAAAATCAGCCTAATGACTCTAAATACTTAAGCAAAATTCTAAGACTACAATTAAATCATGGAGGGTCTTTATGGAGTGATCTGGCTTAGAGATAAGACAAAAGTGATTTACCAAAAAGATACATTATTAAATATCAGTGTTACATGATTTCACGGGTACACAAATCAGACATTCTACAATATATGTAAAAGTAAACGCCTGGCGCAGTGTCTCAAGTATGTAATCTTAGCACTTTGGGAGGCCAAGGCAGGCAGATCACTTGAGGTCGGGAGTTTGAAACCAGCCTGGCCAACTTGGCGAAACCGCGAAACTACTTCTTGACTAAAAATACGAAAAAATTTAGCCAAGCGTTTTAGTGGGCGCCTGTAATCCCATCTATTTGGGAGGCTGAGGCAGGAGAATTGCTTGAACCCAGGAGGCGGAGGTTGCAGTGAGCTGAGATCGCACCACTGCACTCCAACCTGGGGGACAGAGCAAGACTCGGTCTCAAAAAAAAAAAAAAAAAAAAAAGAAAGAAAAAAGAAAAAATTATTTACTTAAGATATTGTTAGTCAGAGAATGTATGTTCCTTCTGTGTATGTTTCTTTGCTGTACATATGCTTTCTAATTTTCACCTGTTGAGATCAATGCTTTATAGTGCTTTTGGTCTGTCTCTCTACCAAACTACTCACTTGAAAAGTATCTGGGGTCCATCACTTACACTCAGTTGTGAATATGATCTAAGAATTATATAGTCTTGTAGCAGAAAAACACTTTAAATTTCATTTTGTTCATCTAAGCATCTTCTATTTCTTAAGCACGAACTTCAAAGCCAGAAACATAAATATAAATCAAATTTACTTCCTGCAGGAGTATTTTGGTTTATCCTAAATTAACCTAAATTGTATTAAGAAAGATAATAAAAACACAATGTTTATTTTATAATTGGTTTGTGTAAGATGTGCAGAGAAAGGAAGTTTCTTTTTTTTAAGCTGTATTCAATATTAAACTGTATAAAGATATCCGGCAAAAATACAAAATAAAACATGAACAAAAATGTTGTAAAAAGTATAAAATAAATTAGCCCAGTTTAATTCAGATTTCAGCTTCATTTTTCCGACTTGATTCTGAAGATATTTTATAGCTATTTATACTTCTTAAATATATGAGAAAAACTAGGATGCTTTAAAAATATTACTTCTGATCATTCTCTTATATCTATAAAACAACACAAAGTTTTCTTTATCTATAAAACAACACGAAGGTTTTTTTAAAGAATAAAAAGTTATCCCTTCATTACTTCTGAGGAGTTAGTTGTATTTTTATTGAGATGTACAACACGTGCTTAGGAAAAATAGAATGAAATACATTCATCATATTAAATTAAATGAAAACCTGGCCGGGCGCGGTGGCTCACGCCTGTAATCCCAGCACTTTGGGAGGCGGAGGCGGGCGGATCACAAGGTCAGGAGATCGAGACCATCCTGGCTAACACGGTGAAACCCCGTTTCTGCTAAAAAATACAAAAAATTAGACGGGTGCGGTGGCGGGCGCCTGTAGTCACAACTACTCGGGAGGCTGAGGCAGGAGAATTGCATGAACCCGGGAGGCGGAGCTTGCAGTGAGCTGAGATCGCGCCACTGCACTCACGCCTGGGCGACAAAGCGAGACTCCGTCTCAAAAAAAAAAAAAAAGAAAGAAAGAAAACCTGTATCTTGCATTTATGAGTCCTTAAGGCCACTGGTGTGCCAAGAGCGAAGTGTGGTAGTGGTATGCCTCAGGTTCAGGCAATAAAAAGGTGCACTGTCTGTAGAAATGTGTAAATAATAATGAAACACTGTAATTCAGACTCCTGGGTATAACCCCATGCATCAACAATTCAAAACGATAGCAGTCAAAATTTTCACTACCTACATTTCTTTTCTGACCATTGTTATTGTTCATCTTATTTCATAATTATTGCTAAAAATTCTTTTAACCTATAGAGGAGGTGGTGTGAACAGTATTTTGATATGCAGGGGAAGCACCATATGAACTCAACCTTTTTACATTTGTTTATACCACTTCCTCACTACTTCCCCTGACTTCATACCCATCAAAATCTGCAGAAAGTTTCTCAGTTCAAATGTCATTGCACAAGAAAGATTTTCTGATTGACTAATGCACTGGACTCCTCTTCTAAATACCTATGCCATTTTCAGTTAACATCATTCATTTCCAGTTCACATAATGTATGGCAGCTTGGTTATGTTTGTAGAAGTCTTAATTTTGCCATAACTGTAAATCATGATGAAGAAATATTTTATATATTACAATCTCTGTGTCCCCATAGAATCTACATTGTTTTACACGTTTTCTACATTCAATATTCATTAATTTAACCAATAATTATTGAGGACATTGTATGTTTTAGAACTTCAGGGTTAAAAAGACAAAAATAATATGATCCCCATCCAAAAAGACAGAATAGTGCTGGTAATAGTAAATGTTGTGAAAAGCATTCTAAATGTATTATTTTACTTACTTCTCCCAACACTGGGAATTATGTAGAAGTACCTCATTTTTGAAGTTAAGACAATGCAAACAGGAGTTACTTGTCCATTATGCTAAAATAAAAGGCAAACTCAGCATTTTATAATTTTACCTAGACAACATGTTATTGTAAAAACAAGACTAGTAATAGATAACAGGTGGGAAAATGGTATATATTTTTCTAGAATTGTACATATAGTATTTATCTGCTTGGGGAAATATTTTGAACATGGCTTACTTAAGTAAAATTTAATCTTATACTTTATTACATTAGTTCCTGTTTCTCTTTATCTTCTATGATTTTTAGAATGTTAAGAATTTTCTCTTTTTAAACAAGACTTGATATAGAAAGAATGACATTCCTGAAAAATATATTTGAATGTCTAATTACTTGAAGTTATAATTAAAAGTGACTTTAAACTCTTTTCTTTATAGATAAAAGGGGCTTTCTCTTGGCTTGTTATTTCAAGAATATCCAAATATCTATTTTTCATTTGTAAAATATTAAAGAAACTTCATAAAACATTTTAAATAACCAAAGATCAACATTAACAGAAAAAATATTAGGCTTAAAATTCCTTTGCATATCCTTATTCCTGTGATTCCTGACGAATGATGTTTTACAGAGTTCAGAAATTCTGAAAATAAACAGTGGTTGAAAGTACACAGCAAATGGGACGTTAACGCAGGACATCATCTCAAGAAGCTCATCCTCAAAGACTGAAAGTCAGATTTTAAGCCTTTAAAAATAAATGAATTTACTTGGATTCAAATCAAACCACAGTAAAAAATAAACTTTATTTTAGGAAATACCTTTTTAAATGTTCTAAGCATAGCCACTTAACTTTTTAAAAATAGTATTAGCAGAGAGAACATTTTTTTTAGTATCCAATTAAGGTATGACTCATTGTTCACTTGGAAAAGTGCGGATTTTGAACTATTCCCTTTTAAAATCATTGTCTACATTTTTCCATCTTAACATAGAAATCATTTCAACCAGATATAAAAAGATAAACATGCAGAATATGTCTCAGACTTTCAAAACCATATTTTTTTCTGAGAATGATATATTTTTAGTTCAGGTTTCTTTCAAATGCATACAGAAGCAACCTGTAGATTCTTATTATGAATATCGAAAAGAAACTTTACTATGGGTTCCATTAAATAATTTAGTTCTAAATACTACTGATGTCACAAATTTGGAAAATGTAGACCTCGAGTATTCTCTACATTTTAGGATTGCTAAATTATTAAAAGTAACCCAGAAAATTGAAGATGGTCAGGTCAAATCTGTCTCTTTTTTTACCTCTTTGCCACACCTACTTGTCTCATATTTTTTAGAGTCAAGTTCCTGCTAGTTTTGCTATATACTTTTAATATGGTATCCAGAAAAGGGCACTGTTTCGCCTCCAGTCACTAACATTTTTAACAGGAATAAATATGTGTGGATACACATAGTAGAGATGGGGTTTCACCATGTTGGCCAGGCTGGTCTCGAACTCCTGACCTCATCTGTCTGCTTCAGCCTCCCAAAGTGCTAGGATTATAGGCATGAGCCAGTGCCCCTGGCCTCCAAATGTTATTATTGAAAGGACTTCTCATTGTGTTCATAAGTCAACTAAATTAAGTATCCAACAGCATTCATGGGGAATTTTTTTTTCTATGAGTTTTTTCAACAGTAACTACAAGCAAAACTAATCATTAAATATATTGGCTTTTCTGTTGAGTTTTGTATTATTGTGAATCAAACGGAGAGAGTGAGAAAAAAGAAAAAAAAACAGAGAAAATGAGGAGGAACCCAAAGTATTTTGAGGGAGAGATTTATGTTCTGGTCTTTTTCTGTTATTAAAGAGAAGGATGAACAATAGTGCTTCAATGGTTTTCTAATTTAAATTAGCATGTTTGCTAACAGAATCATCCCATCTAGGTCATTCAAAAGACACAGGAAGAGCCCCAAAATTCAAATAATTAGAGATTGCATGAATAATTTTTGGAATTCTCTATTATGCAGCATTTTGGATAACTGATGTTCATTTATAGTAATTGTATAATCATGTAGTCTTAATTAAAAATAAATTGATATACATTTTGGGGGACATAGGGGTCTTAAGTTATTACAAAAACTTCCTTGATTATGAGTTTATTGATGATAACACTACAAATCTCAATGTTAACAAAATGCTTTAAAACAACCATATACAAATGAAAGTTATTTTTATTTTGATTATTATTAAGACAGAACTATATAGTCTAGGTACATCTCTAAACAGATGAAGATACATATATCACATTATGCAAAGCCTTAATATTCAGCATCTTCCAATAGAAAACATAGTTATATAACCTTTTCCTTTAAAATAGTTTAAGAAAGTTCAACCTAAATTTTCTGGAACTTCCTTAATAATTTATTTTAACGACTTTGACATTTCTTCACTTTTCATGGTTTATTGAATAATTACTGTGTTATTAAAGGTTTTCAATATACCCCTTATTTGAAATAGACCTTATTTTGTAAAACTGGTTAGATTAGAATCTTTTTATGCTTTTGAAAATGCAAGTCATCAGTAACAATTGGGTAATCTCCGATTTCCCATTAACCTAGGACTCTTATTTTTATCACATGTATTAGTCATTTTATTAGCATGTATTTATTAGATCAGGTGGTCTTGCAGACCCAACCTTTGTAGCAGTGGAAAGAAAAAGAAGCCTCTCATGGCAGATTTTGTTTTATTTGAAGTACGTGGAGAATAAACATGTAAACAAGGTATGAAATATGACAGTAATTAAAACTGTAAAATAAAAACGAGGCCAGTTGTGGTGGCTCATGCCTGTAATCCCAACATTTTGGGAGGCCGAGTTGGGTGGATTACTTGAGGTCAGGGGTTCGAGACCAGCCTGAACATCATGGTGAAACTCTCCTCTCTAAAAATACAGAAATTAGCCAGGCATGGTGGCGCACGCCTGTACTCCCAGCTACTTGGAGGCTAAGGCAGGAGCATCACTTGAATCCGGGAGGCAACGGTTGCAGTGAGCTGAGATAGCACCACTGCACTCCAGCCTGAGCAACAGAGTGAGAATCCATCTCAAGGAAGAAAAAAAAAACTGTAAGGTAAAAATGAAAGAAGTTAACTTAAAAAGGAAGTGTGAGAACAACTTCTCTTTAAATAAGGCTATCAATGAAGTCTTCTTCTAAGCCGAAGACGGGAGTCCATTTCTGCAATATTTATTTTATTTCTAGCTTTTTTATTTATATATAAATACAAAAATGTTTTACATTTCCAATAGTGTTAACTCTTTCTTTTATTTTAAAATATTTCCCTTTGCAGTTTTTTGGTTGTAATGTAACTCTACTGAGTCCTCTAGAACACACACACACACACACACACACACACAAACACACACACACACACACACACACAATGAGATTCAAATTAGAACTGCAATAATTTTATCAGTTAATTTACATTAACTTTTATTTGGCAACACTTAATCTTTACAGTTAGAAACTCTGGATGCGTCTCCATTTATTTTCTTATTAAAAATTATCTTAATAAGTGTTTTTCATATTTGTACAATATCATTTTATTTGAATTGATTTCATAATTTTCTGGTATAATAAATTAAATTAATCTTTCAATTTAATTCTAATGCATTATTCTTGAAGCATAGAAATTGCATTTTTGTAGGATTGTCTTAAATATTGACATCTTGCTGAATTTGTTATTTTTATTACACTTATGTTTCTATCTCTCCCAGAATCTTCTAGGAATGCAATATTACCCTTGTGTACATGTGTATGTATGTTAAGTATGTGGATGTATTTGTGTGTGTGTGTGTGTGTGTGTGTGTGTGTGTGTTTGCTTTATGTCTGATTGCATTTCTAGAACTTCTAAAATATCAATGGTAATAATGAGAATATTTGTTTGCTTTTTTCTCTTCCTGTTCCTATGCAGTAATGTAAGATATTCATTGAGGCACTATACAGACTTCAGATAATAGAGGAATATATAAGCCCTCTTAACTGTGATATCCTTTTAAATGTAATAAACATGAATATTTTCTTCCTCCTGCTACTGGCTTGGTAATGCTATTTTTGTGTTTATCTGTCCATGTGATCTTTAGATTTCATGTTCTATTTCCTGTCATAGTCTTGCCATTTGGATATGGAAACAGATTGCCTTTTTACTTAGACTCCTGGCATACACTTAGTTGGAAAGGACTTTGCACTCTGATTCTATCCACTTAATTTGCCTATTAGTCATGCTGTCCAAACAAGCTTTGGCTCAGGGACTCAACTTTGAATAATTCCATTCAACCAATATTCCTATGCCATAGAAAGAATCAAAAGTTATCTATTTTTGGTGAAAGGCTACTTGGAATTTTTGTATCACTTACATAATAATCACTAAATTGGTAATTGTGATCAGTTTATCAGCAAGTTGTACTTTATTCTCATTGAGATATATTATTTGATAGATACAAATTATAACAAATATCTTACATTTTGTTCCACACCAGGCTAGTGTCGAACTCCTGACCTCGTGATTCACTCGCCTCAGCCTCCCAAAGTGCTGGGATTACAGGCGTGAGCCACTGCACCTGGCCACTTGCTGCATATTATTATTATTATTATTATTTGAGACGGAGTGTCGCTCTGTTGCCCAGGCTGGAGTACAGTGGCATGATCTCAGCTCACTGCAAGCTCCGCCTCCCAGGTTCACGCCATTCTCCTGCCTCAGCCTCCCCAGTAGCTGGGACTACAGGCACCTGCCACCGCGCCCGGCTAATTTTTTGTATTTTTAGTAGAGACGGAGTTTCACCGTGTTAGCCAGGATGGTCTCGATCTCCTGACCTCCTGATCTGCCCGCCTTGGCCTCCCAAAGTGCTGGGATTACAAGCCCTAGCCACCGCGCCCAGCCCACTTGTTGCATATTATTAAAAGTATTTTCCAGTCCAACAAGTATATTTGCAAGATAACTTTCTTCTCCAGTAATTGTTTTTGTCTGTTACTTACATACACGATTGAAAAACTGTCCAGAAATTCAGATATCAGGATATCTGTCATAACATAGAAAAAATAGATAAAATATTATTTTTTTCTATTTGAATATCCTGCTTCATTTTAAAATCCTGCTATGATCTGAATATCTGTGCCCCAACAATATTTATATGTTGAAATCCTAAACCTAAGTTGATGGTGTTAGGAGGTAGGGTCTTTGTGGAGATGATTAGGTCATAAGGGCAAAACCCTCAGGAATAGGAGCAGTGCACTGATAAAATAGGCTCAAGAATGCTCATTCTCCTGTTCACCATGTGACAACAAGCAAGAAGACTCATCTATGAGAATGCAAGCCCTCGCCAGACATGGGATCCTCTGCTGCCTGATTATAGACTTTCCAGTCACCATAACTGTGAGAAATAAAATTCTGCTGCTTATGAGCCGCCCAGTTGACAATACTTCGTTATAACCACCTGAAAAAACTAAGACAAATTGATTTGGTAGCCTAGATTCACCAAGTTAAAAATAATCATTAAATTTAAACTACTTTATGAAATTGCTTTTTATAAATTAAGTTCAGTTTTATTCTAAATAATGAATGCATGACTGTACAACATAGAGTAATAAATACAATAAAATAAATATTTTTACTTTTCATGTGAATATATTAAAAACCAAAATATATAAATTGCACATAAAGATGAAGAAACATTATGCCTGATTATAAATATTCAATGATTTCTGATATGAGTATTATTAACTCTTTTATTTCCTGGAGTTTATTCATTGACTAGAATTTTGAAATGTGAACTTCTTTTCTGCTATCAATTTACAGGATAATAATAGCTCATTTCTTCAATAACTACAAAATTTCATATATTGTTAGAATATAATTTTAATAAGATATGTGATTCAAGAAAAGCGATTTATACTCTCAAATGTCATTTGAATACTATTTTTGGTATCTTTGTTCTGATGCTCCTATCATGAATTATTTATTTAAAAAATCATACTACCAAATAGATGTCACAGCTGTGAGTATAAAAATCAGAACTATGCATGTAGTTTTAGGAACAAATTCAACTGAAATTGTCATTCAAATTTATTATTAATTTTTTTGACAGGAAAGAAATGTTCTCAATAAAAGGTCCTGAATTAAAGGCTGATTTGGGGAAATTTATCAGGTTATTATGCATACTTTTTTAGTAAAAGAACTCCATATGTCTTGACTGGATGTCAATTTTAGGTGACAGTTTTCAGCTTTAGTGGGCAGACACCTTTGCTAGTGTTCCAATAGTTTTACTGCACAAAATCATACAAAAATGATATAAATTATCAAGATTATTTTAGGTTTCAAACCATTGGACAGAGTTAGGGTAAAAATCAAGAAAAGTCAAATATTGCCTAGCAGATAAAAAATTAGCAAAAAAGATTTGAGAGTTAATAAAATAGGCTTGTTCAGTGTTGTTTTTCCTTATTTTTTTACAAAGGAAATTGCAGTGAAAAGCTCTAAATAATAGTCTTTCTTATGAGATCAGTTTTATATTAACTGTATTTTTCTAAGTGCTTCTTATTCTATATTTCACTTTCCATTTAAGAATATAACAATCCATGATTATATATAAACAAGTAAAAGTTATTACATGTCTTTTTAAATGTGTGATCTAATTTTAGATCTTACTACTTTTTATAATTACTACTCATAATTTAACTGGAAATTCAGAGGAAATCAACAAAAAAGTTCTATATTTATGGAAAATAAGCTCTACCTGTAACAGTTGAAAATAACAGAACTATTAGGCTTATAACACGTAGGTAGAAATATTGATAAAAGGTTGCAGCTAACAATGTTAAAGACAATAATTGTAAACTGAAAAATTCTTAAAACTTAAAATGTTTTTGATGCAAAAGAGATAAATTAGCATTTTATCATTTTTATTTGAGGAAACTGACTATGAAAATATTTGATTAAATTATGGTATGTAGCCTAAATTAATATTTAATTTTGTGCATTTTTTGGCTCTTATTTCCAGTGGAAAGATTGACTGGCAGCCTATATATAATATTTAGTTATTTAGTTCTGGGTCAAGAAGGAGTCTAATACAGTAAAGAATATTTCCTATTTATTTTACATTGTGTGGTATCACAATACACATACACACAGACACATTCACACAAATACATATTGGTACATCTCTGTGGAACCTATGAGTACTATAATAAGACTGAAGACTTGTTTTTAAACTATCGAGGTATACTGATATGACGCTAGACAACAGTATAACTGAACTGCAACAATTTCACCAAATGTGATAAGCTATTTGTTTTTCTCTTCTTCAGGACTTTCTACGTATTAAAGCAACTTTTCTATATTGGTATGCTTTGTTTGATTGAAAATTCTTTGATATGCCTCTTCACCATTACTACTCTGTGCACTTTAGCATCATGCAGAATAATATTTCTGATATCTACAATTTTACTTGCATGCCATTCCTCAATATTTGAAGTGGTTTGCTGGGATATATGTGAATATAATTTTAGTAACATAAAATAAATTGTAATATATAATTTTATTATCTCTAATTTCCTCAGATGCTAGGAAATTCAAAATTTTTATTTTGAATTCTCTTAAATGCATAATACTTTTTATGTTTTATATGACACTCTGTAGTTGTCAATACCTATCTTAATAAAAACCACAATTGAACTTTGCATTTGGAAATGGATTAACAATTATACCCACACACAAATATGTATGCAATAGCTTTGCACCTGACTTAAAGTTCAACAGGTGCTACCTACAGTGATTATAGCAACAAAAAATATGAATAGAGATTTTAATACAGTTGATATGGTCTACATATATACCACTATTTAAATTGTTCCAAAATTTAGAGGATTGAAGCAACCATTTTATTATACATAATGTGCTTATGGATAGATTTCAAACTGCAATCAGTTGTGATATTCTGTTGCTCCATGTGGCACTGACTACAGGTATACATTGGTGTTCAGCTGGTTGGCATCACACTCATCTGGTAAGTCCAAAATTGTTTCCCCTATCTCTCTCGTACCTTAGCAGAGGTGGAAGGAAAACTGTATGCAGACAGTACTCTCTTTCAGAGAACTGACCTATCGAGTTGCCAGCATGGTAACATCAGAGTTTTCGGGTCTTACATGGTTGCTCAGGACTCCCAGAGATAGTCTTTCAAGAATGATTATTGGTCTCTTAAATCATAAGTTTATAAATTGGTACAGAATTACTTCTTTCCCAGAATGGTTCAAGTTTAGTAACTGAGGGAGGTAAGGGTATGAATTCCCAGATTGTTGGCCCTATCCTGACACCTTCTATGGTTGCACTCACATCATAGCTTGCCATCAGGTTAGCTCAGGCTTTATCAAGCCTGCATCATATTTTACTTCTCCTGCCCATTTTTCTTTCTCCAGTTCCACCCTTCTTTCTTTCACAGATGCTCATACTGAAAAACCGTCTTGCTTCTCACCAGTAAGGGTCTACTTCCACGGAACTTAACCTGCAAAAAAATATTAACTTACAAGTTGGAGCTTCTCTCTAGCAACAGTAACAAATGGGAATAGAATATTTAAACTATTTGCAAATGGCATTAAAATCTAGAAAATATCTATTGTCTACCACTGAATGCCTAGATTCTTTATGAGAAATTTCTCAAATCCTACTTATTGGTGTAAAATAAGTCATAAGTAAATTGAGAGATTCGTTCTGTCTCTGAGTTGACCAAGGTCATATCATAAAGATGTCAACTAATATTTAGAATATGTTAAGACAATTCCAAGGTAAACAAGAATGCATTGAAGATAACATTTTCATGCACAGTTCAAGGGAAATACAAGGTAATATGGTTTGGCTGTGTCCTCACCCAAATCTCATCTTGAATTCTTATTCCCATAATTCTCATGTGTCATGGGAGGGGCCCCGTGGGAGGTAACTGAATCATGGGGGCAGATCTTTCTCATGCTGTTCTCGTGATAGTGAATACGTCTCATGAAATCTGATGGTTTTATAAAGAGGAGTTTCCCTGCACAAGCTCTTTCCTCCCTGCTGCCATGTAAGACATGATTTTGCTCCTTCTTGCCTTCCTGCATGATTGTGAGGTCTACCCAGCCAAGTGGAACGGTGCCTCTCCTTTATAATTACCCAGTCTCGAGTATGTTTTCACTAGCAGTGTGAGAACTAACTAATACATAAGATGTAATTGAAATTCTGGTAAACTATCTGGTGGTACATTGTGAAAATACTTGTTTCTTTAGTACTCTTTAAAACCATTTCTAGGTATACAGAACTAGACAATCTCAAACAAATTCTGTAAGTAGATGCATTCAAAGATTTTTCTCACATTATGTTTACAAAGATAGGGGGCTAGTGGCAATCTGTATGCCATCACTAGGGCACTGGATAAGATGAATGAGGCCATTCCATATATTGAAATTACTTGTGGGAGTCAGAATTGACAAAGTCGATGTATGTATAGCAACTTAGATGTGTGTTAAAAATTTATTATGTATAATGTAAAAGTAAGAAACAGAATGACAGCCTACAAAAGAATTTATATAAATAAAAATATATAAAGAATCTAATACCATATATTCTTTAAAATGTATACATGGTGAGGACTTAACATTAAAATACACAAATGTGAACATCCATCTGAAGGAAAATTGCAAGTGGATGAGAATATTAGAGGCTTTGTCCAGACTGATGATACCTTTCCAACAAAAAGAAGAGTATATGTAATTAAAACTCCTAAAAGCACAAAGCTAGCCAACTCACCAACCAATAAAACAATGCAAAACAATATAAAAATATTAATCTTAAGACTTAACTATAATATTGAAAAAATAATAGGAAAGAAAATGGTCATTTGGATTTAGTCCACTTGGATATGTAGAATTCTATTCACCGAAAATTATTTTTTGGCAAAAGGATCAATTCATATCACCAAGAAGCTGATTAAGAGATAGACATTTGCTTTACATGGAATCTTTTCCTTTGAGTCACTGTTATTTTTTTTAAACATTAGAGCCATTTTTAAAACCTACCTTAGTTTAATAAGTTAGTTTTAAGATGAACATTCATGCATGAAATTGAATCACGTTTTCCTCAGGGATTCAATCTCTGTATCTCTAACAGTGCTCCTGTCAACACTGTTAAAACAAATTGGTTACAGCAAAGAAAGGTGATAGTAGGAAATCTTGGAAATTTAAAACCCATGAAGAAAAGTAATATAATTATAAAAACCATATTATTAAGCAAAATCTTGCAAGTATAAGTTTTTTTTTCTGGAAAAAGCATTTTAAATCAATGAGTATGTATATATATGTATTTAAAAATCTGCGCTACTTTAAGAAATGTCATAATATATTATGATATAATAAAAAGTTGTCTTTAATTAATAAATAGATCTATAAATTTTTGAAAAAGTTGCTTATATTTATTCATGATATATGATAGGAAAATTGAGTATGTGTGTGTATTACTCCATTTACTTGTACATTTATAATTACATTGGCAACATAATTGACACTAAATTATGGCACTAAAATGAGTCTCATTTTCATAATCTTTAAAACAGTAATCTAGTACCAGAAAATATGTTGTAATGATTAAATAAATGCATATAATTTGATTGTTATAATGCTAGTAAACAACATATTTATTTATTTATTTATTTATTTTTTGAGTCAGAGATTCGCTCTTCTTGCCCAGGCTGGAGTGAAATGGCAAAATCTCAGCTCACCACAACCTCCGCCTCCCAGGTTCAAGTGATTGTCCTGCCTTAGCCTCCCGAGTAATGACTAGCTGGAATTACAGGCATGCGCCACCACACCTGACTAATCCTTTTTTGTATTTTTAGTAGAGAGAGGGTTTCTCCCTGTTGGTCAGGCTGGTCTCGAACTCCCGACCTCAGGTGATCCACCCGCCTGGGCCTCCCAAAGTGCTGGGATTACAGGCGTGAGCCACCGAGCCTGGCAATAGCATACATTTAATAATAAAATAAAGTTACTATAAAATACTAACAATAACACTAATATACTAAGTAGAAATTAAAATTACTAAAATAATGATGTGAAAAAATCAATACTCACGTTATTGATGAAGGATTTTTTCAAAACATAGTTCTGGCATTCAAGAATAGGAGTATACTTGTGTTATTTCAGTTAGTTTTCCATGTGGGTTCACATTCAGGTGAAAAATATTGTCCACTTTGTTCATTTAAACAAAAGTATATTACTGTTTTCCTCCTGCTGCATTTGTTATTTCCCTCATATATCAAATTTTGTTTATTGTGTTTACATATGTCAAAAAAATACTAACTTTAATTCACAGGTAGTTTAACTCTATATAAACTGTGTGTACACATGCTAGCTTTTGTAAAAACTCAAATTTTGGTTGTAAGGAAGAGAAAGAGTCAGAAATCAATTGAGACAGTGCTGGAAAACCTTGCTTTCTGTAATGCCGTATTTCATCAGAAATAATCTTCCCTAAAAGTTGTTTCTAACATTCTTACTGCCTTCTAACACATTAATAGATGTATTTTGATATAGTGAGGTGGATTTTGAAAAGCTATCTTAGGCTTTTTTTTTCATTTCTGTTTTTAAGGGGAGAATTAGAGATTATGTAGTAAGTCTGCGTTCAGATATAATGAGGTGAGTTCACTATATCAGAATTTTCAAGGCTAAATCCCATACTTAAGGAAAACTGTTTCACTTTAATTCATTTGAAATGTTGAATCAAAATGTATAATTAAATCTGCTGACCATGAGGGCTGAATGTTGTATGTTTTGGATGCCACTTCTTGAGAACAGTTCTTCACTTTAGGCAGCCATGACTCAATTTGATGACATCTATGTTACCTTCTTTTACACTGTGATGATGAACATTTGAAGGCCTATCGACTTAAAAACTAGCATGAATAAACACAATATAGCTTGACTTTGCAAATTATGACAGAAAGTTTCCCTAAAATTTTGGCATAATATTGTTTAGTTGACATATATAAACGTCAAGAAAATTTGATGTATGCACAAAAACAACCAATAAGCTCAAGAAAAGCATTATTCATTAATATTATCAATTCCAACAATCAGAAGTAAACTATGTACCAATCATGTTATTGGATAAAATGCATATTTTAATGACTGTTTTTAACATTTTCTGACTAAGATTAGAGAGAAAATGTACAAAGTTCATTTGTATGTTTAGGAGTCATGAATTTCAGAAAACTGTTCATACTATTAACGTGAATGGAATTAGAATAAAGTAATTGTTTGTTATCCATGCTTATTTTATAATCAATTGTACATACCTTCCTATGATGTTAATTTTTACAACCTCAGATTGGAGACACTTATAATATATCGGATTATATCTGGGAGACATTTTTTAACCCAGTGGATTTGTGCTAAATATAACAAACAAGTTTATAACTTTGAAGGTCAAAATTAAAACATCCTACTCAAACATATAATACATTATTTTTATATCAGTCAAAATGTACTACTTCCTTTCTAACTCATTTATGCATGAAAATTAATGGAGTCATATTTATGCATTAATAATTGTATAACTAAGTTTGACTTTTAGGCTAAATTTGCTGATATCATTTACAATTGTATTGTATATTCGGATTATTTTATTATAATACACTAAAACAGAATACCTGTCTTGTGCTATTCTAGTAATTGGTAATGGAAAACCACAGTGAAGAGTCTGTATTTCTGTTTAATTTTCCCTCTAAATCTGCTCTCTATGCTTTTATAATCTGCTATATTCCCAGGGAGTCTAACCTGCATGTGTGTTGCCTCAAATGGTTTCCATCTGCTGCTTGGAGATTAAGGCATGAGGAAAGAAAAAGTCTGAAGAAGGAGTTCCACTAGGTGGCTGCCTTCTGTGCTTCTCTAGCTGAGTTGTCTCCCTCTATCAAAAGACATAGCTCTTGTCAGGAATGGTGGCTTTCAGATAAAATTATTCTCGCTGGTGTTCCAGTAAATGTTTCTTCTCCCTGCCCTTTTCTGTGACTAGCGCAGGGTGCTTCAATAGTTCTCTTAACCATCTCTACCAAGCTTAAATAAGTCTTTTTATTAAATTCTCTTCATGTGATTATGTCACCTGTGCCAAAAATTACAGTAATTGATACTGTAGCTCCAGAAACAGATCCTGGCAATGGGATTCTGGGATAAAGTTATTCATATACTTAAGGCAAAGCTGACGATTGGGTAATACATTTCTAATATATATTTCTGCAGACAAGGAATGAAGTGCAGGTCAAAAGCAAGACACTTGTAGATCACTTACTTGTAGATTTTAACAAAAATGATTATAAAGTTTATGGGGACGCTAGACCGCTTCTTATAGATTTAGAGTGGTGGCAGATTGAAAGAACAATTTGGAAGGTTTAAATGCCCAGCAGAGAGCCCAACTGGAAAATCAGAAACCTTTCTGGCAACTTCAGAACAAGTCTCTCATCTCTTAAGTTTTTAAAGAAGAAAGGTTAAGAACTGAGCCCAAAACATGACAATGCAGAATTTCAGTGACACGTAAAGGCATTGATGGAGAAGAAAAGAAACTCAGAATAATATCTGAGGAATTTTGCACAAACATGGATGAGTCTTAGAACTTCAAACCTACAAACGCCTCTCTGCCAGAAAAGGCAGCCACTTACCTCTCAACGGGAGGAACACATCTTCTCTGTTATAAGATCTTTCTAATAACTGCAAAAAAGAGTTGCTTTGCTAAGGGATAATGAATGTCTTCAAGACCCATAAAAGATCACGCCTCATAACCTTCATATACATAATAGTAACTACATTCCACCATAGCTCTGATGGAGAAGCTGGAAGTATTATCCAGGACGAAATAGCTTCACCACACTAAGCATATCACAAGGTGTCACTGATTTGTATGAACAAGGGTCTATAAAGCATGCATGCAAATGAAGTCTGATAATGTCAGAGCAAGCAGGATGAAATACAGGACTTGATTAGCATAAAATATTGATAAGGGTGAACCTACACAGATATATGTTGGCTGGGAGAAATATTAATTGTCTGCTGGGTTGGTTAACAGGATTTAGTGAAGATTCAGTGAATACAAAATGCTGGAATTTCCCTGGCCTACCATATAACAAGGAATCTTAAAGCTCAGGGAGATGAGAATGTTGGAATAAATGTAGTTCATTGTGTGCAACCCATTCAGTTAATCCTTTTTAATTTTTGTCAATATATAATATGTACATATTTATGGGTTATATGTGATATTTGGGTACATGCATACAATGTGTAATGATCAAATCAGGGTATTTTGAATATCTGTAACCTCAAACATTTATTATTTCTTTGTATTAGGTAAATTGCAAATCTTCTTTTCTAGCTATTTTGAAATACATAATCTATCATTGTTAACTATAGTCATCCTAATGCACTACTGAACACTAGGACTTATTCCTTTTGTCAAACTGTATGTTTGTGCCCAGTAATCTATTTCTCTTCATCCTTCCCACTTTCCCAGCCACTGGCAACTACCATTCTACTTTCTATATCCATATGATTAACGTTTTTTACCACTCATATGTGAATGAGAACATGTGATACTTGTTTTTCTGTGCCTGGCTTATTTCATTTAACATAATGACCTCCAATTCTATCTATGTTGCTGCAAATGACAGGATTTTACTTTTTTATGGCAGATTGGTATTCCATTGTGTATATATGCCATTCTTTTAAAATCCCTTCATCCATTGATGGACACTTGTGTAGATTCCATATCATGGCTGTTTTTTTCCATTAGAGCCTAAGTATGTTAATTCTAGTTGTTTTAAATTTCTCATCTAAAAATTCCCCAATCTCTGTCATATCTGAGTTTCATTCCAATGCTTGTTCTTTCCCTTTATACTGTGTTTTAAATTTTTTTTCAAGTTGGGAAAAGATGTCTTTTAGTATGCTTTGTAATATTTTGTTGAAAGCTGGACATGGCATACTTAGTAAAAAAGACCTGATGTAAACAGGCCTTGAGACTAGAGTTTTATATTTATCTGGCTAAGAGTTAGGAGATATTTCCTGTTAGCTATAGCTGTAGGTCTCAGACACTTAAATTTTTTTTGGTGTTTTTTGTTTTAATCTACTCTGTTGACCTTAGTTTTACATGGAAACAATTTCTTGGATAAGGTCTGGGACATGTGTTTCTTTTTGTTACTATCCACTCTTACTACACAGGAGCCCTACTGATGTGGAGATAAGGTATGGGATGGAGGAGAAATATTTTATAGTTCTATTCATTTTCAGTCTTGTATTGAGATTCAGTTCTTGGCTATTATCTTTTCCAAAGCTTCCTATGGTTCCTTACACCCCCCGTCCCCCGTGTTATACAGAAAGGCTAGAAAAACCTGGATTTTGGTATTTTAATTTCCTCTCATGGAAAGCTAGAGGGGGCTAGAGTTGGGTATTTCTCTTCCTCAGGTTACATAGGCTCTAGAAAAATAGATTATGTTGGGGAAAGGCCTTGTTAAGGAGAACAGAATGCTTTGGATGTATTTCAGAAAGACTATCATTCCCCATCCCCCTTTCAGGAGCATTAGGAGAATTTTCCTGGGCATTCACTGTAAGAACTTGATAGGATTCCTGGACGTGAAACTCTTGAGATTAAGAGAACTTCACCTAATACTCAGTTCTCTGGAACTTTTTAATCTTTCAAGCTTGTCTATACTGAGCCTCTAGCAATTTGTCTATCATATTTTGAACTATTTAACCCTGGTACTTGGAGGTCCCTGCCCCTGAGCTTCTGCTCTGGTAGGCTGTGTTTCTCTGTATCTGTCTATTTTTCTCTCCAATGTTATGGGAAACAATTTTCCTGTGACTGCAATTCAGTCCTTTTAGGGATCTAAGAAGAGTTGTTGATTTTTAGATTATTTAGTGTTTTTTTTTGAGGGTTTGAAGGTGGGAGTAATGACATCTAATCTCCTTCCACTCGGAACCAGAACTGAAAGCCTTGAGTATGTTTCTAATGTTAGTTTCACAACTAAATTGCACATTCTAACAAAGTGATTTTAAATAAAAATATTTATTTAACTGTATCTTAGATGTTTGATTTTAAAATTTTTCTATTCCTCTTCATTCCTTATTCAAATGACTCTCAAACATCTTTAACTAAAAAGTTTTTAGTGAAATAAGAATGATAATCAGTAAAACATTTAAATTTCATTTTTATCAAAGAATGCATTCACATATAGTTTTTATCTCAGTATAGATTATAAAGAATGATCAAAGAAATATTTATCAGGTAAACATAAAAAATAAGCAACTAAAAAGCAGATGTGAGTGATGATTTTTAGTACTCATAATTTGAGCTAATTTTTAGTCGGCATGAAGAAAATGAATAGAATAATCAATGTGAGTCACTATCTTTAGATTTCAGGGACCATGAATTCACATATATTAGAAACTTTCATAGATGTGCATTTGTAGTTTTGTAGAAAAGGATAAAACACTTATCCCCAGTTTTCTGAGGCTTTTCATAGTTACAGCTGAATGAGTATCAAATCTTCAATATTTCCCCCCAAAAATGGCCGATTTTACTCATGGCTACATAGACCAAATCAGTAACTAACAAAATTAAATGATAAATTACAGTGGCTTGTTGCTTTGGAACTATAGGACACTTAATAGACTTAGGGTATAAGTTTAACAAAATAACCCTTTTAAAATGTTCCAATAACTGGCAACAAACTGTCTGCAAGCAATTTACTCTCACTTTGATAATACCTAAGGAAGACATTTACTCTACAATTTTAGGCTGCAATATGTACATGTTTCAATTATGTTTGACTATAAGGAATGTAATAAATACACATATATGCATGTCTGTTTGTGTAATATATCTATGTCTATGTCTTTCCTTATCAAAAATATCTTAATATAACCATATTGCTCTATAATAAAAGTTTTTAATATATAATTTATTTCATTACCACCACTGTTTGTGTTAACCCATCCTAATTTAATGTGTGATAGCATTGAAGTGCATTGAAATCAGAATGTGGTAAATGACTATCATTAATTCATATCCAATTGATGTTTAGGACCTTTATGACTTAAGTACCAGGCTAAATAATGGGGAAATAAAGGCAAATATACTCTCAAATTGCTAACAGTGTAAGAAGCAATCAATTTTTATTCAGTGTAAAAGCTGGTTTGTTTGAGCTTTTCGAAAGGTTTATAGAAGAAAGACAACGGAGACGATTGTTGAATGACGATTGGAAAGGATTTCTAGAAAAATTAATGTCAAGAGTGGAGAGCTTAGCTAAGAAATGTATGGGATCAAACATCTTAGAGGCAGTTATTACTTGCCTAGAATACAGATAAATAATAGGCAGGGAGCTAAAAATAGTTCCAGATCTTAGAGTGTGACATGGTTAAGGGATGAAGTTAAATAAATACGCACCTTATAATGCACAATAATATAAAAGTTTTATTTTCACTTTGTGTACACAGGAATTAAACAAATTTAAGCCTAAATTTCATAAAGCGTGATTTACATTTTGAATGATAACAGTTATGAGAATGGTTCACTAGACAGAAAAGGAAATTTGAGTATGTGCAAGATGAACAGCAGAAGAGTTTAGTGGGGCCCGGAGAAATCCAAAAAATAAAAAGAAAAGAAAGAACACTGATGACAGTTTGGCTCTAAGTGCGGTTCATTTATGATACAATAATAAGGTGAAAACAATCCACTTCTCTTTTAATAACACTTCTCTATGTTGTATTTGAACATCTCTTTTAACCTTTACCTGATTTGGATATATGGAATTTCCACAGCTATATGTCTGTATCTTCTTTGTAAAAATTAATTATCTCTTATTTCAAGAGACTGTTTCTTATTGGCTGATAGCCTAGGTTATATAATCACAATTATAATATTTTCTGCTCAATAGTGTAGCATATATTGATGATATCATTCTATTTCAATTTCTCAAAACTTTTATCCTATCACAGTTAATTTCAAAACTTGATTAAAGATGTTTCTCAAAAGAAGACATGCAAATGCCTAACAGCTATATGAAAAAGTACTCAACATCACTACTCATGAAAGAAATGCAAATTAAAACTGCAATTAGATATCATCTCATTCCAGTTAGAATGACTTTTATCAAACAGACAGGAAATAACAGGTGCTGGCGAGCATGTAGAGAAAGGGGAACTGTCATACACTGTTGGTGGAAATGTAAATTAGTACAGCCACTATGGAACACAGTATAGACATTCCTGAAAAACAGTAAAAATAAAGCAACCATGTAACCTTGCAATTCAACTAGTGGGTATATATCCAAAAGAACGGAAATCAATACATTAAAGTGATATCTACACTCCCATGTTTATTGCAGCATGATTCACAATAGCCATGTAGGGAATCAGCCTAATTAGCTCTCAATAGATGAATGGATAAAGAAAATGTGGTATGTACACATAATGGAATATTGATAAAGAATCAAAATTTGTCGTTTGCATCAACATGGATTGAACTGGAGATGATTATATTAAGTAAACAAGCTGATATGTTTTGGATTTGTGTCCCTGCCCAAAGCTTAAGTCAAATTGTAAGCCCCAGGAGGGGCCTGGTAGGAGGTGATTGGATGATTGGCGCAGATTTTCCCCTTGCTGTTCTTGTGATAGTGAGTGAGTTCTCATGA